>NC_000020.11:28446067-28494539 GCF_000001405.40 Homo sapiens
CCCTTTTTATATGTTGCTGAATTTAGTTTGCCAGTATATCGTGGAGGATTTTTGCATCTATATCATAAGAGATATTAGTGTGTGGTTTTCTTTTCTTGTGACGCATTTGTCATCAGGATAATAGTGGGTTCATAAAATGAATTGGAAAGTTTTCCTTCTTCATCTATTTATTGGAAAAGTTTGTGAAACATTGGTATTAATTCTTTAAATGTTTAATAGCATTCACCAGTGAAGTCCAGGCATGGTGGCTCGTGCCTGGCAAACAGAGTTGAACCTTTCTTTTGAGAGAGCAGTTTTGCAACACTCTTTTTGTGGAATATGCAAGTGGATATTAGGGCAGCTTTGAGGATTTCGTTGGAAACGGGAATACATGTAAAAAGCAGACAGCAGAGCATTCTCAGAAACTTCTTTGTGATGTTTGCATTGAAGTCACAGAGTTGAACATTCCCTTTGAGAGAGCAGGTTTGAAACACGCCTTTTGTCATATCTGGAAGTGTCCATTCGGAGCGCATTCAGGCTTGTGTTGAAAAAGGAAATATCCTCCCATAAAAACTAGACAGAAGCATTCTCAGAAACTTATCTGTGATGTATGTACTCAACTAACAGAACTAAACCATCGTTTTGAAGGAGCAGTTTTGAAACACTCTTTTTGCGGAATCTGCAAGTGGATATTTGGCTAGCTGGGAGGATTTCGTTGGAAACGGGATTACATACAAAAAGCAGACAGCAGCATTCTCAGAAACTTATTTGTGATGTGTGCCCTCAACTGACAGTGTTGAACCTTTGTTTTGATAGAGCAGTTCTGAAACACACTTTTTGTAAAATCTGCAAGAGGATATTTGGATAGCTTTGAGGATTTCGTTGGAAACGGGAATGTCTTCATGTAAACTCTAGACAGAAGCATTCTCAGAAACTGCTTTGGGATGTTTCAATTGAAGTCCCAGTGTTGAACATTCCCTTTCATAGAGCAGGTTTGAAACACTCTTTTTGTACTATCTGGAAGTGGACATTTGGAGCGCTTTCAGGTCTACGGTGAAAAAGGAGATATCTTCCAATAAAAACTAGATGGAAGCAATGTCAGAACTTTTTTCATGATGTATCTACTCAGCAAACAGAGTTGAACCTTTCTTTTGAGAGAGCAGTTTTGAAACACTCTTTTTGTGGAATATGCAAGTGGGTATTAGGCCAGCTTGGAGGATTTCGTTGGAAACGGGAATACGTATGAAAAGCAGACAGCAGCATTGTCAGAAACTACTTTGTGATGTTTGCATTCAAGTCACAGAATTGAACACTCCCTTTCACAGAGCAGGTTTGAAACAGTCTTTTTGTAGTGTCTGTAAGTGAACATTTGGATTGCTTTCAGGCCTAAGGTGAAAAAGGAAATATCTTCCCATAAAAACTAGACAGAAGCATTCTCAGAAACTTGTTTGTGATGTGTGCCCTCTACTGACAGAGTTGAACCTTTCTTTGCAAAGAGCAGTTTTGAAACACTCTTTTTGTAGAATCTGCAAGAGGATATTTGGATAGCTTTGAGGATTTCTTGGGAAACGGGAATGTCTTCAGATAAACTCTAGACAGAAGCATTCTCAGAAACTTCTTTGGGATGTTTCAATTGAAGTCACAGTGTTGAACATTCCCTTTCACAGAGCAGGTTTGAAACACTCTTTTTGTAGTGTCTATAAGTGAACATTTGGCGTGCTTTCAGGCCTAACGTGAAAAAGGAAATATCTTCCCATAAAAACTAGACAGAAGCATTCTCAGAAACTTGTTCGTGATGTGTGCCCTCTACTGACAGAGTTGAACCTTTCTTTGCAAAGAGCAGCTTTGAAACACTCTTTTTGTAGAATCTGCAAGAGGATATTTGGATAGCTTGGAGGATTTCGTTGGAAACGGGTATGTCTTCAGATAAACTCTAGACAGAAGCATTCTCAGAAACTTCTTTGGGATGTTGCATTCAAGTCACAGAGTAGAACATTCCCATTCATAGAGCAGATTTGAAACACTCTTTTTGTAGTATCTGGAAGTGGACATTTGGAGCGCTTTCAGGCCTATGCTGAAAAAGGAAATATCTTCCCATAAAAACTAGACGGAAGCATTCTCAGAAACTTATTTGTGATGTGTTTGCTCAACTAACAGGATTGAACCATCGTTTTGAAGGAGCAGTTTTGAAACACTGTTTTCGTGGAATCTGCAAGTGGATATTTGGCTAGCTTTGAGGATTTCGTTGGAAACGGGATTACATATAAAAAGGAGACAGCAGCATTCTCAGAAACTTCTTTGTGATGTTTGCATTCAAGTCACAGAGTTGAACATTCCCTTTCATAGAGCAGGTTTGAAACACTCTTTTTGTAGTATCTGGATGTGGACATTTGGATCGCTTTCAGGCCTATGGTGAAAAAGGAAATATCTTCCCATGAAAACTAGACAGAAGCATTCTCAGAAATTTATTTGTGATGTGTGCCCTCAACTAACAGAGTTGAACCTTTCTTTTGATAGAGCAGTTTTGAAACACTCTTTTTGTAAAATCTGCAAGAGGATATTTGGATAGCTTTGAGGATTTCGTTGCAAACGGGAATGGCTTCATATAAACTCTAGACAGAAGCATTCTCAGAAACTTCGTTGGGATGTTTCGATTGAAGTCCCAGTGTTGAACATTCCCTTTTATAGAGCAGGTTGGAAACACTCTTTCTGCATTCCCTGGAAGTGGACATTTGGAGCGCTTTCAGGACGACGGTGAAAATGGAAATATCTTCCAAGAAAATCTAGATAGAAGCAACGTCAGAAACTTTTCTGTGATGGATCTACTCAGCTAACAGAGTTGAACCTTTCTTTTGAGAGAGCAGTTTTGCAACACTCTTTTTGTGGAATATGCAAGTGGATATTAGGGCAGCTTTGAGGATTTCGTTGGAAACGGGAATACATGTAAAAAGCAGACAGCAGCATTCTCAGAAACTTCTTTGTGATGTTTGCATTGAAGTCACAGAGTTGAACATTCCCTTTGAGAGAGCAGGTTTGAAACACGCCTTTTGTCATATCTGGAAGTGTCCATTCGGAGCGCATTCAGGCTTGTGTTGAAAAAGGAAATATCCTCCCATAAAAACTAGACAGAAGCATTCTCAGAAACTTATCTGTGATGTATGTACTCAACTAACAGAACTAAACCATCGTTTTGAAGGAGCAGTTTTGAAACACTCTTTTTGCGGAATCTGCAAGTGGATATTTGGCTAGCTGGGAGGATTTCGTTGGAAACGGGATTACATACAAAAAGCAGACAGCAGCATTCTCAGAAACTTATTTGTGATGTGTGCCCTCAACTGACAGTGCTGAACCTTTGTTTTGATAGAGCAGTTCTGAAACACACTTTTTGTAAAATCTGCAAGAGGATATTTGGATAGCTTTGAGGATTTCGTTGGAAACGGGAATGTCTTCATGTAAACTCTAGACAGAAGCATTCTCAGAAACTGCTTTGGGATGTTTCAATTGAAGTCCCAGTGTTGAACATTCCCATTCATAGAGCAGGTTTGAAACACTCTTTTTGTACTATCTGGAAGTGGACATTTGGAGCGCTTTCAGGTCTACGGTGAAAAAGGAGATATCTTCCAATAAAAACTAGATAGAAGCAATGTCAGAACTTTTTTCATGATGTATCTACTCAGCAAACAGAGTTGAACCTTTCTTTTGAGAGAGCAGTTTTGAAACACTCTTTTTGTGGAATATGCAAGTGGGTATTAGGCCAGCTTGGAGGATTTCGTTGGAAACGGGAATACGTATAAAAAGCAGACAGCAGCATTGTCAGAAACTACTTTGTGATGTTTGCATTCAAGTCACAGAATTGAACACTCCCTTTCACAGGGCAGGTTTGAAACACTCTTTTTGTAGTGTCTGTAAGTGAACATTTGGATTGCTTTCAGGCCTAAGGTGAAAAAGGAAATATCTTCCCATAAAAACTAGACAGAAGCATTCTCAGAAACTTGTTTGTGATGTGTGCCCTCTACTGACAGAGTTGAACCTTTCTTTGCAAAGACCAGTTTTGAAACACTCTTTTTGTAGAATCTGCAAGAGGATATTTGGATAGCTTTGAGGATTTCTTGGGAAACGGGAATGTCTTCAGATAAACTCTAGACAGAAGCATTCTCAGAAACTTCTTTGGGATGTTTCAATTGAAGTCACAGTGTTGAACATTCCCTTTCACAGAGCAGGTTTGAAACACTCTTTTTGTAGTGTCTATAAGTGAACATTTGGCGTGCTTTCAGGCCTAACGTGAAAAAGGAAATATCTTCCCATAAAAACTAGACAGAAGCATTCTCAGAAACTTGTTCTTGATGTGTCCCCTCTACTGACAGAGTTGAACCTTTCTTTGCAAAGAGCAGCTTTGAAACACTCTTTTTGTAGAATCTGCAAGAGGATATTTGGATAGCTTGGAGGATTTCGTTGGAAACGGGTATGTCTTCAGATAAACTCTAGACAGAAGCATTCTCAGAAACTTATTTGGGATGTTGCATTCAAGTCACAGAGTAGAACATTCCCATTCATAGAGCAGATTTGAAACACTCTTTTTGTAGTATCTGGAAGTGGACATTTGGAGCGCTTTCAGGCCTATGTTGAAAAAGGAAATATCTTCCCATAAAAACTAGACGGAAGCATTCTCAGAAACTTAATTGTGATGTGTTTGCTCAACTAACAGGATTGAACCATCGTTTTGAAGGAGCAGTTTTGAAACACTGTTTTCGTGGAATCTGCAAGTGGATATTTGGCTAGCTTTGAGGATTTCGTTGGAAACGGGATTACATATAAAAAGGAGACAGCAGCATTCTCAGAAACTTCTTTGTGATGTTTGCATTCAAGTCACAGAGTTGAACATTCCCTTTCATAGAGCAGGTTTGAAACACTCTTTTTGTAGTATCTGGATGTGGACATTTGGATCGCTTTCAGGCCTATGGTGAAAAAGGAAATATCTTCCCATGAAAACTAGACAGAAGCATTCTCAGAAGTTTATTTGTGATGTGTGCCCTCAACTAACAGAGTTGAACCTTTCTTTTGATAGAGCAGTTTTGAAACACTCTTTTTGTAAAATCTGCAAGAGGATATTTGGATAGCTTTGAGGATTTCGTTGGAAACGGGAATGTCTTCATGTAAACTCTAGACAGAAGCATTCTCAGAAACTTCGTTGGGATGTTTCGATTGAAGTCCCAGTGTTGAACATTCCCTTTTATAGAGCAGGTTGGAAACACTCTTTCTGCATTCCCTGGAAGTGGACATTTGGAGCGCTTTCAGGACGACGGTGAAAATGGAAATATCTTCCAAGAAAATCTAGATAGAAGCAACGTCAGAAACTTTTCTGTGATGGATCTACTCAGCTAACAGAGTTGAACCTTTCTTTTGAGAGAGCAGTTTTGCAACACTCTTTTTGTGGAATATGCAAGTGGATATTAGGGCAGCTTTGAGGATTTCGTTGGAAACGGGAATACATGTAAAAAGCAGACAGCAGCATTCTCAGAAACTTCTTTGTGATGTTTGCATTGAAGTCACAGAGTTGAACATTCCCTTTGAGAGAGCAGGTTTGCAACACGCCTTTTGTCATATCTGGAAGTGTCCATTCGGAGCGCATTCAGGCTTGTGTTGAAAAAGGAAATATCCTCCCATAAAAACTAGACAGAAGCATTCTCAGAAACTTATCTGTGATGTATGTACTCAACTAACAGCAACTAAACCATCGTTTTGAAGGAGCAGTTTTGAAACACTCTTTTTGCGGAATCTGCAAGTGGATATTTGGCTAGCTGGGAGGATTTCGTTGGAAACGGGATTACATACAAAAAGCAGACAGCAGCATTCTCAGAAACTTATTTGTGATGTGTGCCCTCAACTGACAGTGTTGAACCTTTGTTTTGATAGAGCAGTTCTGAAACACACTTTTTGTAAAATCTGCAAGAGGATATTTGGATAGCTTTGAGGATTTCGTTGGAAACGGGAATGTCTTCATGTAAACTCTAGACAGAAGCATTCTCAGAAACTGCTTTGGGATGTTTCAATTGAAGTCCCAGTGTTGAACATTCCCATTCATAGAGCAGGTTTGAAACACTCTTTTTGTACTATCTGGAAGTGGACATTTGGAGCGCTTTCAGGTCTACGGTGAAAAAGGAGATATCTTCCAATAAAAACTAGATAGAAGCAATGTCAGAACTTTTTTCATGATGTATCTACTCAGCTAACAGAGTTGAACCTTTCTTTTGAGAGAGCAGTTTTGAAACACTCTTTTTGTGGAATATGCAAGTGGGTATTAGGCCAGCTTGGAGGATTTCGTTGGAAACGGGAATACGTATAAAAAGCAGACAGCAGCATTGTCAGAAACTACTTTGTGATGTTTGCATTCAAGTCACAGAATTGAACACTCCCTTTCACAGAGCAGGTTTGAAACACTCTTTTTGTAGTGTCTGTAAGTGAACATTTGGATTGCTTTCAGGCCTAAGGTGAAAAAGGAAATATCTTCCCATAAAAACTAGACAGAAGCATTCTCAGAAACTTGTTTGTGATGTGTGCCCTCTACTGACAGAGTTGAACCTTTCTTTGCAAAGAGCAGTTTTGAAACACTCTTTTGTAGAATCTGCAAGAGGATATTTGGATAGCTTTGAGGATTTCTTGGGAAACGGGAATGTCTTCAGATAAACTCTAGACAGAAGCATTCTCAGAAACTTCTTTGGGATGTTTCAATTGAAGTCAGTGTTGAACATTCCCTTTCACAGAGCAGGTTTGAAACACTCTTTTTGTAGTGTCTATAAGTGAACATTTGGCGTGCTTTCAGGCCTAACGTGAAAAAGGAAATATCTTCCCATAAAAACTAGACAGAAGCATTCTCAGAAACTTGTTCATGATGTGTGCCCTCTACTGACAGAGTTGAACCTTTCTTTGCAAAGAGCAGCTTTGAAACACTCTTTTTGTAGAATCTGCAAGAGGATATTTGGATAGCTTGGAGGATTTCGTTGGAAACGGGTATGTCTTCAGATAAACTCTAGACAGAAGCATTCTCAGAAACTTCTTTGGGATGTTGCATTCAAGTCACAGAGTAGAACATTCCCATTCATAGAGCAGATTTGAAACACTCTTTTTGTAGTATCTGGAAGTGGACATTTGGAGCGCTTTCAGGCCTATGTTGAAAAAGGAAATATCTTCCCATAAAAACTAGACGGAAGCATTCTCAGAAACTTATTTGTGATGTGTTTGCTCAACTAACAGGATTGAACCATCGTTTTGAAGGAGCAGTTTTGAAACACTGTTTTCGTGGAATCTGCAAGTGGATATTTGGCTAGCTTTGAGGATTTCGTTGGAAACGGGATTACATATAAAAAGGAGACAGCAGCATTCTCAGAAACTTCTTTGTGATGTTGGCATTCAAGTCACAGAGTTGAACATTCCCTTTCATAGAGCAGGTTTGAAACACTCTTTTTGTAGTATCTGGATGTGGACATTTGGATCGCTTTCAGGCCTATGGTGAAAAAGGAAATATCTTCCCATGAAAACTAGACAGAAGCATTCTCAGAAATTTATTTGTGATGTGTGCCCTCAACTAACAGAGTTGAACCTTTCTTTTGATAGAGCAGTTTTGAAACACTCTTTTTGTAAAATCTGCAAGAGGATATTTGGATAGCTTTGAGGATTTCATTGCAAACGGGAATGGCTTCATATAAACTCTAGACAGAAGCATTCTCAGAAACTTCGTTGGGATGTTTCGATTGAAGTCCCAGTGTTGAACATTCCCTTTTACAGAGCAGGTTGGAAACACTCTTTTTGCATTCCCTGGAAGTGGACATTTGGAGCGCTTTCAGGACGACGGTGAAAATGGAAATATCTTCCAATAAAATCTAGATAGAGAAGCAATGTCAGAAACTTTTATGTGATGGATCTACTCAGCTAACAGAGTTGAACCTTTCTTTTGAGAGAGCAGTTTTGCAACACTCTTTTTGTGGAATATGCAAGTGGATATTAGGGCAGCTTTGAGGATTTCGTTGGAAACGGGAATACATGTAAAAAGCAGACAGCAGCATTCTCAGAAACTTCTTTGTGATGTTTGCATTGAAGTCACAGAGTTGAACATTCCCTTTGAGAGAGCAGGTTTGAAACACGCCTTTTGTCATATCTGGAAGTGTCCATTCGGAGCGCATTCAGGCTTGTGTTGAAAAAGGAAATATCCTCCCATAAAAACTAGACAGAAGCATTCTCAGAAACTTATCTGTGATGTATGTACTCAACTAACAGAACTAAACCATCGTTTTGAAGGAGCAGTTTTGAAACACTCTTTTTGCGGAATCTGCAAGTGGATATTTGGCTAGCTGGGAGGATTTCGTTGGAAACGGGATTACATACAAAAAGCAGACAGCAGCATTCTCAGAAACTTATTTGTGATGTGTGCCCTCAACTGACAGTGTTGAACCTTTGTTTTGATAGAGCAGTTCTGAAACACACTTTTTGTAAAATCTGCAAGAGGATATTTGGATAGCTTTGAGGATTTCGTTGGAAACGGGAATGTCTTCATGTAAACTCTAGACAGAAGCATTCTCAGAAACTGCTTTGGGATGTTTCAATTGAAGTCCCAGTGTTGAACATTCCCATTCATAGAGCAGGTTTGAAACACTCTTTTTGTGCTATCTGGAAGTGGACATTTGGAGCGCTTTCAGGTCTACGGTGAAAAAGGAGATATCTTCCAATAAAAACTAGATAGAAGCAATGTCAGAACTTTTTTCATGATGTATCTACTCAGCAAACAGAGTTGAACCTTTCTTTTGAGAGAGCAGTTTTGAAACACTCTTTTTGTGGAATATGCAAGTGGGTATTAGGCCAGCTTGGAGGATTTCGTTGGAAACGGGAATACTGTATAAAAAGCAGACAGCAGCATTGTCAGAAACTACTTTGTGATGTTTGCATTCAAGTCACAGAATTGAACACTCCCTTTCACAGAGCAGGTTTGAAACACTCTTTTTGTAGTGTCTGTAAGTGAACATTTGGATTGCTTTCAGGCCTAAGGTGAAAAAGGAAATATCTTCCCATAAAAACTAGACAGAAGCATTCTCAGAAACTTGTTTGTGATGTGTGCCCTCTACTGACAGAGTTGAACCTTTCCTTGCAAAGAGCAGTTTTGAAACACTCTTTTTGTAGAATCTGCAAGAGGATATTTGGATAGCTTTGAGGATTTCTTGGGAAACGGGAATGTCTTCAGATAAACTCTAGACAGAAGCATTCTCAGAAACTTCTTTGGGATGTTTCAATTGAAGTCACAGTGTTGAACATTCTCTTTCACAGAGCAGGTTTGAAACACTCTTTTTGTAGTGTCTATAAGTGAACATTTGGCGTGCTTTCAGGCCTAACGTGAAAAAGGAAATATCTTCCCATAAAAACTAGACAGAAGCATTCTCAGAAACTTGTTTGTGATGTGTGCCCTCTACTGACAGAGTTGAACCTTTCTTTGCAAAGAGCAGCTTTGAAACACTCTTTTTGTAGAATCTGCAAGAGGATATTTGGATAGCTTTGAGGATTTCGTTGGAAACGGGTATGTCTTCAGATAAACTCTAGACAGAAGCATTCTCAGAAACTTCTTTGGGATGTTGCATTCAAGTCACAGAGTAGAACATTCCCATTCATAGAGCAGATTTGAAACACTCTTTTTGTAGTATCTGGAAGTGGACATTTGGAGCGCTTTCAGGCCTATGTTGAAAAAGGAAATATCTTCCCATAAAAACTAGACGGAAGCATTCTCAGAAACTTATTTGTGATGTGTTTGCTCAACTAACAGGATTGAACCATCGTTTTGAAGGAGCAGTTTTGAAACACTGTTTTCGTGGAATCTGCAAGTGGATATTTGGCTAGCTTTGAGGATTTCGTTGGAAACGGGATTACATATAAAAAGGAGACAGCAGCATTCTCAGAAACTTCTTTGTGATGTTTGCATTCAAGTCACAGAGTTGAACATTCCCTTTCATAGAGCAGGTTTGAAACACTCTTTTTGTAGTATCTGGATGTGGACATTTGGATCGCTTTCAGGCCTATGGTGAAAAAGGAAATATCTTCCCATGAAAACTAGACAGAAGCATTCTCAGAAATTTATTTGTGATGTGTGCCCTCAACTAACAGAGTTGAACCTTTCTTTTGATAGAGCAGTTTTGAAACACTCTTTTTGTAAAATCTGCAAGAGGATATTTGGATAGCTTTGAGGATTTCGTTGCAAACGGGAATGGCTTCATATAAACTCTAGACAGAAGCATTCTCAGAAACTTCGTTGGGATGTTTCGATTGAAGTCCCAGTGTTGAACATTCCCTTTTATAGAGCAGGTTGGAAACACTCTTTCTGCATTCCCTGGAAGTGGACATTTGGAGCGCTTTCAGGACGACGGTGAAAATGGAAATATCTTCCAAGAAAATCTAGATAGAAGCAACGTCAGAAACTTTTCTGTGATGGATCTACTCAGCTAACAGAGTTGAACCTTTCTTTTGAGAGAGCAGTTTTGCAACACTCTTTTTGTGGAATATGCAAGTGGATATTAGGGCAGCTTTGAGGATTTCGTTGGAAACGGGAATACATGTAAAAAGCAGACAGCAGCATTCTCAGAAACTTCTTTGTGATGTTTGCATTGAAGTCACAGAGTTGAACATTCCCTTTGAGAGAGCAGGTTTGAAACACGCCTTTTGTCATATCTGGAAGTGTCCATTCGGAGCGCATTCAGGCTTGTGTTGAAAAAGGAAATATCCTCCCAGAAAAACTAGACAGAAGCATTCTCAGAAACTTATCTGTGATGTATGTACTCAACTAACAGCAACTAAACCATCGTTTTGAAGGAGCAGTTTTGAAACACTCTTTTTGCGGAATCTGCAAGTGGATATTTGGCTAGCTGGGAGGATTTCGTTGGAAACGGGATTACATACAAAAAGCAGACAGCAGCATTCTCAGAAACTTATTTGTGATGTGTGCCCTCAACTGACAGTGTTGAACCTTTGTTTTGATAGAGCAGTTCTGAAACACACTTTTTGTAAAATCTGCAAGAGGATATTTGGATAGCTTTGAGGATTTCGTTGGAAACGGGAATGTCTTCATGTAAACTCTAGACAGAAGCATTCTCAGAAACTGCTTTGGGATGTTTCAATTGAAGTCCCAGTGTTGAACATTCCCTTTCATAGAGCAGGGTTGAAACACTCTTTTTGTACTATCTGGAAGTGGACATTTGGAGCGCTTTCAGGTCTACGGTGAAAAAGGAGATATCTTCCAATAAAAACTAGATAGAAGCAATGTCAGAACTTTTTTCATGATGTATCTACTCAGCAAACAGAGTTGAACCTTTCTTTTGAGAGAGCAGTTTTGAAACACTCTTTTTGTGGAATATGCAAGTGGGTATTAGGCCAGCTTGGAGGATTTCGTTGGAAACGGGAATACGTATAAAAAGCAGACAGCAGCATTGTCAGAAACTACTTTGTGATGTTTGCATTCAAGTCACAGAATTGAACACTCCCTTTCACAGAGCAGGTTTGAAACACTCTTTTTGTAGTGTCTGTAAGTGAACATTTGGATTGCTTTCAGGCCTAAGGTGAAAAAGGAAATATCTTCCCATAAAAACTAGACAGAAGCATTCTCAGAAACTTGTTTGTGATGTGTGCCCTCTACTGACAGAGTTGAACCTTTCTTTGCAAAGACCAGTTTTGAAACACTCTTTTTGTAGAATCTGCAAGAGGATATTTGGATAGCTTTGAGGATTTCTTGGGAAACGGGAATGTCTTCAGATAAACTCTAGACAGAAGCATTCTCAGAAACTTCTTTGGGATGTTTCAATTGAAGTCACAGTGTTGAACATTCCCTTTCACAGAGCAGGTTTGAAACACTCTTTTTGTAGTGTCTATAATTGAACATTTGGCGTGCTTTCAGGCCTAACGTGAAAAAGGAAATATCTTCCCATAAAAACTAGACAGAAGCATTCTCAGAAACTTGTTCGTGATGTGTGCCCTCTACTGACAGAGTTGAACCTTTCTTTGCAAAGAGCAGCTTTGAAACACTCTTTTTGTAGAATCTGCAAGAGGATATGTGGATAGCTTTGAGGATTTCGTTGGAAACGGGTATGTCTTCAGATAAACTCTAGACAGAAGCATTCTCAGAAACTTCTTTGGGATGTTGCATTCAAGTCACAGAGTAGAACATTCCCATTCATAGAGCAGATTTGAAACACTCTTTTTGTAGTATCTGGAAGTGGACATTTGGAGCGCTTTCAGGCCTATGTTGAAAAAGGAAATATCTTCCCATAAAAACTAGACGGAAGCATTCTCAGAAACTTACTTGTGATGTGTTTGCTCAACTAACAGAATTGAACCATCGTTTTGAAGGAGCAGTTTTGAAACACTGTTTTCGTGGAATCTGCAAGTGGATATTTGGCTAGCTTTGAGGATTTCGTTGGAAACGGGATTACATATAAAAAGGAGACAGCAGCATTCTCAGAAACTTCTTTGTGATGTCTGCATTCAAGTCACAGAGTTGAGCATTCCCTTTCATAGAGCAGGTTGGAAACACTCTTTTTGTAGTATCTGGATGAGGACATTTGGAGCGCTTTCAGGCGTATGGTGAAAAAGGAAATATCTTCCCGTAAAAACTAGACAGAAGCATTCTCAGAAATTTATTTGTGATGTGTGCCCTCAACTAACAGAGTTGAACCTTTCTTTTGATAGAGCAGTTTTGAAACACTCTTTTTGTAAAATCTGCAAGAGGATATTTGGATAGCTTTGAGGATTTCGTTGCAAACGGGAATGGCTTCATATAAACTCTAGACAGAAGCATTCTCAGAAACTTCGTTGGGATGTTTCGATTGAAGTCCCAGTGTTGAACATTCCCTTTTATAGAGCAGGTTGGAAACACTCTTTCTGCATTCCCTGGAAGTGGACATTTGGAGCGCTTTCAGGACGACGGTGAAAATGGAAATATCTTCCAAGAAAATCTAGATAGAAGCAATGTCAGAAACTTTTATGTGATGGATCTACTCAGCTAACAGAGTTGAACCTTTCTTTTGAGAGAGCAGTTTTGCAACACTCTTTTTGTGGAATATGCAAGTGGATATTAGGGCAGCTTTGAGGATTTCGTTGGAAACGGGAATACATGTAAAAAGCAGACAGCAGCATTCTCAGCAAACTTCTTTGTGATGTTTGCATTGAAGTCACAGAGTTGAACATTCCCTTTGAGAGAGCAGGTTTGCAACACGCCTTTTGTCATATCTGGAAGTGTCCATTCGGAGCGCATTCAGGCTTGTGTTGAAAAAGGAAATATCCTCCCATAAAAACTAGACAGAAGCATTCTCAGAAACTTATCTGTGATGTATGTACTCAACTAACCGAACTAAACCATCGTTTTGAAGGAGCAGTTTTGAAACACTCTTTTTGCGGAATCTGCAAGTGGATATTTGGCTAGCTGGGAGGATTTCGTTGGAAACGGGATTACATACAAAAAGCAGACAGCAGCATTCTCAGAAACTTATTTGTGATGTGTGCCCTCAACTGACAGTGTTGAACCTTTGTTTTGATAGAGCAGTTCTGAAACACACTTTTTGTAAAATCTGCAAGAGGATATTTGGATAGCTTTGAGGATTTCGTTGGAAACGGGAATGTCTTCATGTAAACTCTACACAGAAGCATTCTCAGAAACTGCTTTGGGATGTTTCAATTGAAGTCCCAGTGTTGAACATTCCCATTCATAGAGCAGGTTTGAAACACTCTTTTTGTACTATCTGGAAGTGGACATTTGGAGCGCTTTCAGGTCTACGGTGAAAAAGGAGATATCTTCCAATAAAAACTAGATAGAAGCAATGTCAGAACTTTTTTCATGATGTATCTACTCAGCAAACAGAGTTGAACCTTTCTTTTGAGAGAGCCGTTTTGAAACACTCTTTTTGTGGAATATGCAAGTGGGTATTAGGCCAGCTTGGAGGATTTCGTTGGAAACGGGAATACGTATAAAAAGCAGACAGCAGCATTGTCAGAAACTACTTTGTGATGTTTGCATTCAAGTCACAGAACTGAACACTCCCTTTCACAGAGCAGGTTTGAAACACTCTTTTTGTAGTGTCTGTAAGTGAACATTTGGATTGCTTTCAGGCCTAAGGTGAAAAAGGAAATATCTTCCCATAAAAACTAGACAGAAGCATTCTCAGAAACTTGTTTGTGATGTGTGCCCTCTACTGACAGAGTTGAACCTTTCTTTGCAAAGAGCAGTTTTGAAACACTCTTTTTGTAGAATCTGCAAGAGGATATTTGGATAGCTTTGAGGATTTCTTGGGAAACGGGAATGTCTTCAGATAAACTCTAGACAGAAGCATTCTCAGAAACTTCTTTGGGATGTTTCAATTGAAGTCACAGTGTTGAACATTCCCTTTCACAGAGCAGGTTTGAAACACTCTTTTTGTAGTGTCTATAAGTGAACATTTGGCGTGCTTTCAGGCCTAACGTGAAAAAGGAAATATCTTCCCATAAAAACTAGACAGAAGCATTCTCAGAAACTTGTTTGTGATGTGTGCCCTCTACTGACAGAGTTGAACCTTTCTTTGCAAAGAGCAGCTTTGAAACACTCTTTTTGTAGAATCTGCAAGAGGATATTTGGATAGCTTTGAGGATTTCGTTGGAAACGGGTATGTCTTCAGATAAACTCTAGACAGAAGCATTCTCAGAAACTTCTTTGGGATGTTGCATTCAAGTCACAGAGTAGAACATTCCCATTCATAGAGCAGATTTGAAACACTCTTTTTGTAGTATCTGGAAGTGGACATTTGGAGCGCTTTCAGGCCTATGTTGAAAAAGGAAATATCTTCCCATAAAAACTACACGGAAGCATTCTCAGAAACTTATTTGTGATGTGTTTGCTCAACTAACAGGATTGAACCATCGTTTTGAAGGAGCAGTTTTGAAACACTGTTTTCGTGGAATCTGCAAGTGGATATTTGGCTAGCTTTGAGGATTTCGTTGGAAACGGGATTACATATAAAAAGGAGACAGCAGCATTCTCAGAAACTTCTTTGTGATGTCTGCATTCAAGTCACAGAGTTGAGCATTCCCTTTCATAGAGAAGGTTGGAAACACTCTTTTTGTAGTATCTGGATGAGGACATTTGGAGCGCTTTCAGGCGTATGGTGAAAAAGGAAATATCTTCCCGTAAAAACTAGACAGAAGCATTCTCAGAAGTTTATTTGTGATGTGTGCCCTCAACTAACAGAGTTGAACCTTTCTTTTGATAGAGCAGTTTTGAAACACTCTTTTTGTAAAATCTGCAAGAGGATATTTGGATAGCTTTGAGGATTTCGTTGCAAACGGGAATGGCTTCATATAAACTCTAGACAGAAGCATTCTCAGAAACTTCGTTGGGATGTTTCGATTGAAGTCCCAGTGTTGAACATTCCCTTTTATAGAGCAGGTTGGAAACACTCTTTCTGCATTCCCTGGAAGTGGACATTTGGAGCGCTTTCAGGACGACGGTGAAAATGGAAATATCTTCCAAGAAAATCTAGATAGAAGCAACGTCAGAAACTTTTCTGTGATGGATCTACTCAGCTAACAGAGTTGAACCTTTCTTTTGAGAGAGCAGTTTTGCAACACTCTTTTTGTGGAATATGCAAGTGGATATTAGGGCAGCTTTGAGGATTTCGTTGGAAACGGGAATACATGTAAAAAGCAGACAGCAGCATTCTCAGAAACTTCTTTGTGATGTTTGCATTGAAGTCACAGAGTTGAACATCCCCTTTGAGAGAGCAGGTTTGAAACACGCCTTTTGTCATATCTGGAAGTGTCCATTCGGAGCGCATTCAGGCTTGTGTTGAAAAAGGAAATATCCTCCCATAAAAACTAGACAGAAGCATTCTCAGAAACTTATCTGTGATGTATGTACTCAACTAACAGAACTAAACCATCGTTTTGAAGGGCAGTTTTGAAACACTCTTTTTGCGGAATCTGCAAGTGGATATTTGGCTAGCTGGGAGGATTTCGTTGGAAACGGGATTACATACAAAAAGCAGACAGCAGCATTCTCAGAAACTTATTTGTGATGTGTGCCCTCAACTGACAGTGTTGAACCTTTGTTTTGATAGAGCAGTTCTGAAACACACTTTTTGTAAAATCTGCAAGAGGATATTTGGATAGCTTTGAGGATTTCGTTGGAAACGGGAATGTCTTCATGTAAACTCTGGACAGAAGCATTCTCAGAAACTTCGTTGGGATGTTTCGATTGAAGTCCCAGTGTTGAACATTCCCATTCATAGAGCAGGTTTGAAACTCTCTTTCTGTACTATCTGGAAGTGGACATTTGGAGCGCTTTCAGGTCTACGGTGAAAAAGGAGATATCTTCCAATAAAAACTAGATAGAAGCAATGTCAGAAACTTTATCATGATGTATCTACTCAGCCAACAGAGTTGAACCTTTCTTTTGAGAGAGCAGTTTTGAAACACTCTTTTTGTGCAATATGCAATTGGGTATTAGGCCAGCTTGGAGGATTTCGTTGGAAACGGGAATACGTATAAAAAGCAGACAGCAGCATTGTCAGAAACTACTTTGTGATGTTTGCATTCAAGTCACAGAATTGAACACTCCCTTTCACAGAGCAGGTTTGAAACACTCTTTTTGTAGTGTCTGTAAGTGAACATTTGGATTGCTTTCAGGCCTAAGGTGAAAAAGGAAATATCTTCCCATAAAAACTAGACAGTAGCATTCTCAGAAACTTGTGTGTGATGTGTGCCCTCTACTGACAGAGTTGAACCTTTCATTGCAAAGAGCAGTTTTGAAACCCACTTTTTGTAGAATCTGCAAGAGGATATTTGGATAGATTTGAGGATTTCTTGGGAAACGGGAATGTCTTCAGATAAACTCTAGACAGAAGCATTCTCAGAAACTTCTTTGGGATGTTTCAATTGAAGTCACAGTGTTGAACATTCCCTTTCACAGAGCAGGTTTGAAACACTCTTTTTGTAGTGTCTATAAGTGAACATTTGGCGTGCTTTCAGGCCTAACGTGAAAAAGGAAATATCTTCCCATAAAAACTAGACAGAAGCATTCTCAGAAACTTGTTCGTGATGTGTGCCCTCTACTGACAGAGTTGAACCTTTCTTTGCAAAGAGCAGCTTTGAAACACTCTTTTTGTAGAATCTGCAAGAGGATATTTGGATAGCTTTGAGGATTTCGTTGGAAACGGGTATGTCTTCAGATAAACTCTAGACAGAAGCATTCTCAGAAACTTCTTTGGGATGTTGCATTCAAGTCACAGAGTAGAACATTCCCATTCATAGAGCAGATTTGAAACACTCTTTTTGTAGTATCTGGAAGTGGACATTTGGAGCGCTTTCAGGCCTATGTTGAAAAAGGAAATATCTTCCCATAAAAACTAGACGGAAGCATTCTCAGAAACTTATTTGTGATGTGTTTGCTCAACTAACAGGATTGAACCATCGTTTTGAAGGAGCAGTTTTGAAACACTGTTTTCGTGGAATCTGCAAGTGGATATTTGGCTAGCTTTGAGGATTTCGTTGGAAACGGGATTACATATACAAAGGAGACAGCAGCATTCTCAGAAACTTCTTTGTGATGTCTGCATTCAATTCACAGAGTTGAGCATTCCCTTTCATAGAGCAGGTTGGAAACACTCTTTTTGTAGTATCTGGATGAGGACATTTGGAGCGCTTTCAGGCCTATGGTGAAAAAGGAAATATCTTCCCGTAAAAACTAGACAGAAGCATTCTCAGAAGTTTATTTGTGATGTGTGCCCTCAACTAACAGAGTTGAACCTTTCTTTTGATAGAGCAGTTTTGAAACACTCTTTTTGTAAAATCTGCAAGAGGATATTTGGATAGCTTTGAGGATTTCGTTGCAAACGGGAATGGCTTCATATAAACTCTAGACAGAAGCATTCTCAGAAACTTCGTTGGGATGTTTCGATTGAAGTCCCAGTGTTGAACATTCCCTTTTATAGAGCAGGTTGGAAACACTCTTTCTGCATTCCCTGGAAGTGGACATTTGGAGCGCTTTCAGGACGACGGTGAAAATGGAAATATCTTCCAAGAAAATCTAGATAGAAGCAACGTCAGAAACTTTTATGTGATGGATCTACTCAGCTAACAGAGTTGAACCTTTCTTTTGAGAGAGCAGTTTTGCAACACTCTTTTTGTGGAATATGCAAGTGGATATTAGGGCAGCTTTGAGGATTTCGTTGGAAACGGGAATACATGTAAAAAGCAGACAGCAGCATTCTCAGAAACTTCTTTGTGATGTTTGCATTGAAGTCACAGAGTTGAACATTCCCTTTGAGAGAGCAGGTTTGAAACACGCCTTTTGTCATATCTGGAGGTGTCCATTCGGAGCGCATTCAGGCTTGTGTTGAAAAAGGAAATATCCTCCCATAAAAACTAGACAGAAGCATTCTCAGAAACTTATTTGTGATGTATGTACTCAACTAACAGAACTAAACCATCGTTTTGAAGGAGCAGTTTTGAAACACTCTTTTTGCGGAATCTGCAACTGGATATTTGGCTAGCTTGGAGGATTTCGTTGGAAACGGGATTACATACAAAAAGCAGACAGCAGCATTCTCAGAAACTTATTTGTGATGTGTGCCCTCAACTGACAGTGTTGAACCTTTGTTTTGATAGAGCAGTTCTGAAACACACTTTTTGTAAAATCTGCAAGAGGATATTTGGATAGCTTTGAGGATTTCGTTGGAAACGGGAATGTCTTCATGTAAACTCTACACAGAAGCATTCTCAGAAACTGCTTTGGGATGTTTCAATTGAAGTCCCAGTGTTGAACATTCCCATTCATAGAGCAGGTTTGAAGCACTCTTTTTGTACTATCTGGAAGTGGACATTTGGAGCGCTTTCAGGTCTACGGTGAAAAAGGAGATATCTTCCAATAAAAACTAGATAGAAGCAATGTCAGAACTTTTTTCATGATGTATCTACTCAGCAAACAGAGTTGAACCTTTCTTTTGAGAGAGCAGTTTTGAAACACTCTTTTTGTGGAATATGCAAGTGGGTATTAGGCCAGCTTGGAGGATTTCGTTGGAAACGGGAATACGTATAAAAAGCAGACAGCAGCATTGTCAGAAACTACTTTGTGATGTTTGCATTCAAGTCACAGAATTGAACACTCCCTTTCACAGAGCAGGTTTGAAACACTCTTTTTGTAGTGTCTGTAAGTGAACATTTGGATTGATTTCAGGCCTAAGGTGAAAAAGGAAATATCTTCCCATAAAAACTAGACAGAAGCATTCTCAGAAACTTGTTTGTGATGTGTGCCCTCTACTGACAGAGTTGAACCTTTCTTTGCAAAGAGCAGTTTTGAAACACTCTTTTTGTAGAATCTGCAAGAGGATATTTGGATAGCTTTGAAGATTTCTTGGGAAACGGGAATGTCTTCAGATAAACTCTAGACAGAAGCATTCTCAGAAACTTCTTTGGGATGTTTCAATTGAAGTCACAGTGTTGAACATTCCCTTTCACAGAGCAGGTTTGAAACACTCTTTTTGTAGTGTCTATAAGTGAACATTTGGCGTGCTTTCAGGCGTAACGTGAAAAAGGAAATATCTTCCCATAAAAACCAGACAGAAGCATTCTCAGAAACTTGTTCGTGATGTGTGCCCTCTACTGACAGAGTTGAACCTTTCTTTGCAAAGAGCAGCTTTGAAACACACTTTTTGTAGAATCTGCAAGAGGATATTTTAATAGCTTTGAGGATTTCGTTGGAAACGGGTATGTCTTCAGATAAACTCTAGACAGAAGCATTCTCAGAAACTTCTTTGGGATGTTGCATTCAAGTCACAGAGTAGAACATTCCCATTCATAGAGCAGATTTGAAACACTCTTTTTGTAGTATCTGGAAGTGGACATTTGGAGCGCTTTCAGGCCTATGTTGAAAAAGGAAATATCTTCCCATAAAAACTAGACGGAAGCATTCTCAGAAACTTACTTGTGATGTGTTTGCTCAACTAACAGAATTGAACCATCGTTTTGAAGGAGCAGTTTTGAAACACTGTTTTCGTGGAATCTGCAAGTGGATATTTGGCTAGCTTTGAGGATTTCGTTGGAAACGGGATTACATATAAAAAGGAGACAGCAGCATTCTCAGAAACTTCTTTGTGATGTCTGCATTCAATTCACAGAGTTGAGCATTCCCTTTCATAGAGCAGGTTGGAAACACTCTTTTTGTAGTATCTGGATGAGGACATTTGGAGCGCTTTCAGGCGTATGGTGAAAAAGGAAATATCTTCCCGTAAAAACTAGACAGAAGCATTCTCAGAAATTTATTTGTGATGTGTGCCCTCAACTAACAGAGTTGAACCTTTCTTTTGATAGAGCAGTTTTGAAACACTCTTTTTGTAAAATCTGCAAGAGGATATTTGGATAGCTTTGAGGATTTCGTTGCAAACGGGAATGGCTTCATATAAACTCTAGACAGAAGCATTCTCAGAAACTTCGTTGGGATGTTTCGATTGAAGTCCCAGTGTTGAACATTCCCTTTTATAGAGCAGGTTGGAAACACTCTTTCTGCATTCCCTGGAAGTGGACATTTGGAGCGCTTTCAGGACGACGGTGAAAATGGAAATATCTTCCAAGAAAATCTAGATAGAAGCAACGTCAGAAACTTTTCTGTGATGGATCTACTCAGCTAACAGAGTTGAACCTTTCTTTTGAGAGAGCAGTTTTGCAACACTCTTTTTGTGGAATATGCAAGTGGATATTAGGGCAGCTTTGAGGATTTCGTTGGAAACGGGAATACATGTAAAAAGCAGACAGCAGCATTCTCAGAAACTTCTTTGTGATGTTTGCATTGAAGTCACAGAGTTGAACATTCCCTTTGAGAGAGCAGGTTTGAAACACGCCTTTTGTCATATCTGGAAGTGTCCATTCGGAGCGCATTCAGGCTTGTGTTGAAAAAGGAAATATCCTCCCATAAAAACTAGACAGAAGCATTCTCAGAAACTTATCTGTGATGTATGTACTCAACTAACAGAACTAAACCATCGTTTTGAAGGAGCAGTTTTGAAACACTCTTTTTGCGGAATCTGCAAGTGGATATTTGGCTAGCTGGGAGGATTTCGTTGGAAACGGGATTACATACAAAAAGCAGACAGCAGCATTCTCAGAAACTTATTTGTGATGTGTGCCCTCAACTGACAGTGTTGAACCTTTGTTTTGATAGAGCAGTTCTGAAACACACTTTTTGTAAAATCTGCAAGAGGATATTTGGATAGCTTTGAGGATTTCGTTGGAAACGGGAATGTCTTCATGTAAACTCTACACAGAAGCATTCTCAGAAACTGCTTTGGGATGTTTCAATTGAAGTCCCAGTGTTGAACATTCCCATTCATAGAGCAGGTTTGAAACACTCTTTTTGTACTATCTGGAAGTGGACATTTGGAGCGCTTTCAGGTCTACGGTGAAAAAGGAGATATCTTCCAATAAAAACTAGATAGAAGCAATGTCAGAACTTTTTTCATGATGTATCTATTCAGCAAACAGAGTTGAACCTTTCTTTTGAGAGAGCAGTTTTGAAACACTCTTTTTGTGGAATATGCAAGTGGGTATTAGGCCAGCTTGGAGGATTTCTTTGGAAACGGGAATACGTATAAAAAGCAGACAGCAGCATTGTCAGAAACTACTTTGTGATGTTTGCATGCAAGTCACAGAATGGAACACTGCCTTTCACAGAGCAGGTTTGAAACACTCTTTTTGTAGTGTCTGTAAGTGAACATTTGGATTGCTTTCAGGCCTAAGGTGAAAAAGGAAATATCTTCCCATAAAAACTAGACAGAAGCATTCTCAGAAACTTGTTTGTGATGTGTGCCCTCTACTGACAGAGTTGAACCTTTCTTTGCAAAGAGCAGTTTTGAAACACTCTTTTTGTAGAATCTGCAAGAGGATATTTGGATAGCTTTGAGGATTTCTTGGGAAACGGGAATGTCTTCAGATAAACTCTAGACAGAAGCATTCTCAGAAACTTCTTTGGGATGTTTCAATTGAAGTCACAGTGTTGAACATTCCCTTTCACAGAGCAGGTTTGAAACACTCTTTTTGTAGTGTCTATAAGTGAACATTTGGCGTGCTTTCAGGCCTAACGTGAAAAAGGAAATATCTTCCCATAAAAACTAGACAGAAGCATTCTCAGAAACTTGTTCATGATGTGTGCCCTCTACTGACAGAGTTGAACCTTTCTTTGCAAAGAGCAGCTTTGAAACACTCTTTTTGTAGAATCTGCAAGAGGATATTTGGATAGCTTTGAGGATTTCGTTGGAAACGGGTATGTCTTCAGATAAACTCTAGACAGAAGCATTCTCAGAAACTTCTTTGGGATGTTGCATTCAAGTCACAGAGTAGAACATTCCCATTCATAGAGCAGATTTGAAACACTCTTTTTGTAGTATCTGGAAGTGGACATTTGGAGCGCTTTCAGGCCTATGTTGAAAAAGGAAATATCTTCCCATAAAAACTAGACGGAAGCATTCTCAGAAACTTACTTGTGATGTGTTTGCTCAACTAACAGAATTGAACCATCGTTTTGAAGGAGCAGTTTTGAAACACTGTTTTCGTGGAATCTGCAAGTGGATATTTGGCTAGCTTTGAGGATTTCGTTGGAAACGGGATTACATATAAAAAGGAGACAGCAGCATTCTCAGAAACTTCTTTGTGATGTTTGCATTCAAGTCACAGAGTTGAACATTCCCTTTCATAGAGCAGGTTTGAAACACTCTTTTTGTAGTATCTGGATGTGGACATTTGGATCGCTTTCAGGCCTATGGTGAAAAAGGAAATATCTTCCCATGAAAACTAGACAGAAGCATTCTCAGAAATTTATTTGTGATGTGTGCCCTCAACTAACAGAGTTGAACCTTTCTTTTGATAGAGCAGTTTTGAAACACTCTTTTTGTAAAATCTGCAAGAGGATATTTGGATAGCTTTGAGGATTTCATTGCAAACGGGAATGGCTTCATATAAACTCTAGACAGAAGCATTCTCAGAAACTTCGTTGGGATGTTTCGATTGAAGTCCCAGTGTTGAACATTCCCTTTTATAGAGCAGGTTGGAAACACTCTTTCTGCATTCCCTGGAAGTGGACATTTGGAGCGCTTTCAGGACGACGGTGAAAATGGAAATATCTTCCAAGAAAATCTAGATAGAAGCAACGTCAGAAACTTTTCTGTGATGGATCTACTCAGCTAACAGAGTTGAACCTTTCTTTTGAGAGAGCAGTTTTGCAACACTCTTTTTGTGGAATATGCAAGTGGATATTAGGGCAGCTTTGAGGATTTCGTTGGAAACGGGAATACATGTAAAAAGCAGACAGCAGCATTCTCAGAAACTTCTTTGTGATGTTTGCATTGAAGTCACAGAGTTGAACATTCCCTTTGAGGAGCAGGTTTGAAACACGCCTTTTGTCATATCTGGAAGTGTCCATTCGGAGCGCATTCAGGCTTGTGTTGAAAAAGAAAATATCCTCCCATAAAAACTAGACAGAAGCATTCTCAGCAAACTTATCTGTGATGTATGTACTCAACTAACAGAACTAAACCATCGTTTTGAAGGAGCAGTTTTGAAACACTCTTTTTGCGGAATCTGCAAGTGGATATTTGGCTAGCTGGGAGGATTTCGTTGGAAACGGGATTACATACAAAAAGCAGACAGCAGCATTCTCAGAAACTTATTTGTGATGTGTGCCCTCAACTGACAGTGTTGAACCTTTGTTTTGATAGAGCAGTTCTGAAACACACTTTTTGTAAAATCTGCAAGAGGATATTTGGATAGCTTTGAGGATTTCGTTGGAAACGGGAATGTCTTCATGTAAACTCTAGACAGAAGCATTCTCAGAAACTGCTTTGGGATGTTTCAATTGAAGTCCCAGTGTTGAACATTCCCTTTCATAGAGCAGGTTTGAAACACTCTTTTTGTACTATCTGGAAGTGGACATTTGGAGCGCTTTCAGGTCTACGGTGAAAAAGGAGATATCTTCCAATAAAAACTAGATAGAAGCAATGTCAGAACTTTTTTCATGATGTATCTACTCAGCAAACAGAGTTGAACCTTTCTTTTGAGAGAGCAGTTTTGAAACACTCTTTTTGTGGAATATGCAAGTGGGTATTAGGCCAGCTTGGAGGATTTCGTTGGAAACGGGAATACGTATAAAAAGCAGACAGCAGCATTGTCAGAAACTACTTTGTGATGTTTGCATTCAAGTCACAGAATTGAACACTCCCTTTCACAGTAGCAGGTTTGAAACACTCTTTTTGTAGTGTCTGTAAGTGAACATTTGGATTGCTTTCAGGCCTAAGGTGAAAAAGGAAATATCTTCCCATAAAAACTAGACAGAAGCATTCTCAGAAACTTGTTTGTGATGTGTGCCCTCTACTGACAGAGTTGAACCTTTCTTTGCAAAGAGCAGTTTTGAAACACTCTTTTTGTAGAATCTGCAAGAGGATATTTGGATAGCTTTGAGGATTTCTTGGGAAACGGGAATGTCTTCAGATAAACTCTAGACAGAAGCATTCTCAGAAACTTCTTTGGGATGTTTCAATTGAAGTCACAGTGTTGAACATTCCCTTTCACAGAGCAGGTTTGAAACACTCTTTTTGTAGTGTCTATAAGTGAACATTTGGCGTGCTTTCAGGCCTAACGTGAAAAAGGAAATATCTTCCCATAAAAACTAGACAGAAGCATTCTCAGAAACTTGTTCGTGATGTGTGCCCTCTACTGACAGAGTTGAACCTTTCTTTACAAAGAGCAGCTTTGAAACACACTTTTTGTAGAATCTGCAAGAGGATATTTGGATAGCTTTGAGGATTTCGTTGGAAACGGGTATGTCTTCAGATAAACTCTAGACAGAAGCATTCTCAGAAACTTCTTTGGGATGTTGCATTCAAGTCACAGAGTAGAACATTCCCATTCATAGAGCAGATTTGAAACACTCTTTTTGTAGTATCTGGAAGTGGACATTTGGAGCGCTTTCAGGCCTATGTTGAAAAAGGAAATATCTTCCCATAAAAACTAGACGGAAGCATTCTCAGAAACTTATTTGTGATGTGTTTGCTCAACTAACAGGATTGAACCATCGTTTTGAAGGAGCAGTTTTGAAACACTGTTTTCGTGGAATCTGCAAGTGGATATTTGGCTAGCTTGAGGATTTCGTTGGAAACGGGATTACATATAAAAAGGAGACAGCAGCATTCTCAGAAACTTCTTTGTGATGTCTGCATTCAATTCACAGAGTTGAGCATTCCCTTTCATAGAGCAGGTTGGAAACACTCTTTTTGTAGTATCTGGATGAGGACATTTGGAGCGCTTTCAGGCGTATGGTGAAAAAGGAAATATCTTCCCGTAAAAACTAGACAGAAGCATTCTCAGAAATTTATTTGTGATGTGTGCCCTCAACTAACAGAGTTGAACCTTTCTTTTGATAGAGCAGTTTTGAAACACTCTTTTTGTAAAATCTGCAAGAGGATATTTGGATAGCTTTGAGGATTTCGTTGCAAACGGGAATGGCTTCATATAAACTCTAGACAGAAGCATTCTCAGAAACTTCGTTGGGATGTTTCGATTGAAGTCCCAGTGTTGAACATTCCCTTTTATAGAGCAGGTTGGAAACACTCTTTCTGCTTTCCCTGGAAGTGGACATTTGGAGCGCTTTCAGGACGACGGTGAAAATGGAAATATCTTCCAAGAAAATCTAGATAGAAGCAATGTCAGAAACTTTTATGTGATGGATCTACTCAGCTAACAGAGTTGAACCTTTCTTTTGAGAGAGCAGTTTTGCAACACTCTTTTTGTGGAATATGCAAGTGGATATTAGGGCAGCTTTGAGGATTTCGTTGGAAACGGGAATACATGTAAAAAGCAGACAGCAGCATTCTCAGAAACTTCTTTGTGATGTTTGCATTGAAGTCACAGAGTTGAACATTCCCTTTGAGAGAGCAGGTTTGAAACACGCCTTTTGTCATATCTGGAAGTGTCCATTCGGAGCGCATTCAGGCTTGTGTTGAAAAAGGAAATATCCTCCCATAAAAACTAGACAGAAGCATTCTCAGAAACTTATCTGTGATGTATGTACTCAACTAACAGAACTAAACCATCGTTTTGAAGGAGCAGTTTTGAAACACTCTTTTTGCGGAATCTGCAAGTGGATATTTGGCTAGCTGGGAGGATTTCGTTGGAAACGGGATTACATACAAAAAGCAGAGAGCAGCATTCTCAGAAACTTATTTGTGATGTGTGCCCTCAACTGACAGTGTTGAACCTTTGTTTTGATAGAGCAGTTCTGAAACACACTTTTTGTAAAATCTGCAAGAGGATATTTGGATAGCTTTGAGGATTTCGTTGGAAACGGGAATGTCTTCATGTAAACTCTACACAGAAGCATTCTCAGAAACTGCTTTGGGATGTTTCAATTGAAGTCCCAGTGTTGAACATTCCCATTCATAGAGCAGGTTTGAAACACTCTTTTTGTACTATCTGGAAGTGGACATTTGGAGCGCTTTCAGGTCTACGGTGAAAAAGGAGATATCTTCCAATAAAAACTAGATAGAAGCAATGTCAGAACTTTTTTCATGATGTATCTACTCAGCAAACAGAGTTGAACCTTTCTTTTGAGAGAGCAGTTTTGAAACACTCTTTTTGTGGAATATGAAAGTGGGTATTAGGCCAGCTTGGAGGATTTCGTTGGAAACGGGAATACGTATAAAAAGCAGACAGCAGCATTGTCAGAAACTACTTTGTGATGTTTGCATTCAAGTCACAGAATTGAACACTCCCTTTCACAGAGCAGGTTTGAAACACTCTTTTTGTAGTGTCTGTAAGTGAACATATGGATTGCTTTCAGGCCTAAGGTGAAAAAGGAAATATCTTCCCATAAAAACTAGACAGAAGCATTCTCAGAAACTTGTTTGTGATGTGTGCCCTCTACTGACAGAGTTGAACCTTTCTTTGCAAAGAGCAGTTTTGAAACACTCTTTTTGTAGAATCTGCAAGAGGATATTTGGATAGCTTTGAGGATTTCTTGGGAAACGGGAATGTCTTCAGATAAACTCTAGACAGAAGCATTCTCAGAAACTTCTTTGGGATGTTTCAATTGAAGTCACAGTGTTGAACATTCCCTTTCACAGAGCAGGTTTGAAACACTCTTTTTGTAGTGTCTATAAGTGAACATTTGGCGTGCTTTCAGGCCTAACGTGAAAAAGGAAATATCTTCCCATAAAAACTAGACAGAAGCATTCTCAGAAACTTGTTCGTGATGTGTGCCCTCTACTGACAGAGTTGAACCTTTCTTTGCAAAGAGCAGCTTTGAAACACTCTTTTTGTAGAATCTGCAAGAGGATATTTGGATAGCTTTGAGGATTTCGTTGGAAACGGGTATGTCTTCAGATAAACTCTAGACAGAAGCATTCTCAGAAACTTCTTTGGGATGTTGCATTCAAGTCACAGAGTAGAACATTCCCATTCATAGAGCAGATTTGAAACACTCTTTTTGTAGTATCTGGAAGTGGACATTTGGAGCGCTTTCAGGCCTATGTTGAAAAAGGAAATATCTTCCCATAAAAACTAGACGGAAGCATTCTCAGAAACTTACTTGTGATGTGTTTGCTCAACTAACAGAATTGAACCATCGTTTTGAAGGAGCAGTTTTGAAACACTGTTTTCGTGGAATCTGCAAGTGGATATTTGGCTAGCTTTGAGGATTTCGTTGGAAACGGGATTACATATAAAAAGGAGACAGCAGCATTCTCAGAAACTTCTTTGTGATGTCTGCATTCAATTCACAGCAGTTGAGCATTCCCTTTCATAGAGCAGGTTGGAAACACTCTTTTTGTAGTATCTGGATGAGGACATTTGGAGCGCTTTCAGGCGTATGGTGAAAAAGGAAATATCTTCCCGTAAAAACTAGACAGAAGCATTCTCAGAAGTTTATTTGTGATGTGTGCCCTCAACTAACAGAGTTGAACCTTTCTTTTGATAGAGCAGTTTTGAAACACTCTTTTTGTAAAATCTGCAAGAGGATATTTGGATAGCTTTGAGGATTTCGTTGCAAACGGGAATGGCTTCATATAAACTCTAGACAGAAGCATTCTCAGAAACTTCGTTGGGATGTTTCGATTGAAGTCCCAGTGTTGAACATTCCCTTTTATAGAGCAGGTTGGAAACACTCTTTCTGCATTCCCTGGAAGTGGACATTTGGAGCGCTTTCAGGACGACGGTGAAAATGGAAATATCTTCCAAGAAAATCTAGATAGAAGCAATGTCAGAAACTTTTATGTGATGGATCTACTCAGCTAACAGAGTTGAACCTTTCTTTTGAGAGAGCAGTTTTGCAACACTCTTTTTGTGGAATATGCAAGTGGATATTAGGGCAGCTTTGAGGATTTCGTTGGAAACGGGAATACATGTAAAAAGCAGACAGCAGCATTCTCAGAAACTTCTTTGTGATGTTTGCATTGAAGTCACAGAGTTGAACATTCCCTTTGAGAGAGCAGGTTTGAAACACGCCTTTTGTCATATCTGGAAGTGTCCATTCGGAGCGCATTCAGGCTTGTGTTGAAAAAGGAAATATCCTCCCAGAAAAACTAGACAGAAGCATTCTCAGAAACTTATCTGTGATGTATGTACTCAACTAACAGAACTAAACCATCGTTTTGAAGGAGCAGTTTTGAAACACTCTTTTTGCGGAATCTGCAAGTGGATATTTGGCTAGCTGGGAGGATTTCGTTGGAAACGGGATTACATACAAAAAGCAGACAGCAGCATTCTCAGAAACTTATTTGTGATGTGTGCCCTCAACTGACAGTGTTGAACCTTTGTTTTGATAGAGCAGTTCTGAAACACACTTTTTGTAAAATCTGCAAGAGGATATTTGGATAGCTTTGAGGATTTCGTTGGAAACGGGAATGTCTTCATGTAAACTCTACACAGAAGCATTCTCAGAAACTGCTTTGGGATGTTTCAATTGAAGTCCCAGTGTTGAACATTCCCTTTCATAGAGCAGGTTTGAAACACTCTTTTTGTACTATCTGGAAGTGGACATTCGGAGCGCTTTCAGGTCTACGGTGAAAAAGGAGATATCTTCCAATAAAAACTAGATAGAAGCAATGTCAGAACTTTTTTCATGATGTATCTACTCAGCAAACAGAGTTGAACCTTTCTTTTGAGAGAGCAGTTTTGAAACACTCTTTTTGTGGAATATGCAAGTGGGTATTAGGCCAGCTTGGAGGATTTCGTTGGAAACGGGAATACGTATAAAAAGCAGACAGCAGCATTGTCAGAAACTACTTTGTGATGTTTGCATTCAAGTCACAGAATTGAACACTCCCTTTCACAGAGCAGGTTTGAAACACTCTTTTTGTAGTGTCTGTAAGTGAACATATGGATTGCTTTCAGGCCTAAGGTGAAAAAGGAAATATCTTCCCATAAAAACTAGACAGAAGCATTCTCAGAAACTTGTTTGTGATGTGTGCCCTCTACTGACAGAGTTGAACCTTTCTTTGCAAAGAGCAGTTTTGAAACACTCTTTTTGTAGAATCTGCAAGAGGATATTTGGATAGCTTTGAGGATTTCTTGGGAAACGGGAATGTCTTCAGATAAACTCTAGACAGAAGCATTCTCAGAAACTTCTTTGGGATGTTTCAATTGAAGTCACAGTGTTGAACATTCCCTTTCACAGAGCAGGTTTGAAACACTCTTTTTGTAGTGTCTATAAGTGAACATTTGGCGTGCTTTCAGGCCTAACGTGAAAAAGGAAATATCTTCCCATAAAAACTAGACAGAAGCATTCTCAGAAACTTGTTCGTGATGTGTGCCCTCTACTGACAGAGTTGAACCTTTCTTTGCAAAGAGCAGCTTTGAAACACTCTTTTTGTAGAATCTGCAAGAGGATATTTGGATAGCTTTGAGGATTTCGTTGGAAACGGGTATGTCTTCAGATAAACTCTAGACAGAAGCATTCTCAGAAACTTCTTTGGGATGTTGCATTCAAGTCACAGAGTAGAACATTCCCATTCATAGAGCAGATTTGAAACACTCTTTTTGTAGTATCTGGAAGTGGACATTTGGAGCGCTTTCAGGCCTATGTTGAAAAAGGAAATATCTTCCCATAAAAACTAGACGGAAGCATTCTCAGAAACTTATTTGTGATGTGTTTGCTCAACTAACAGGATTGAACCATCGTTTTGAAGGAGCAGTTTTGAAACACTGTTTTCATGGAATCTGCAAGTGGATATTTGGCTAGCTTTGAGGATTTCGTTGGAAACGGGATTACATATAAAAAGGAGACAGCAAGCATTCTCAGAAACTTCTTTGTGATGTTTGCATTCAAGTCACAGAGTTGAACATTCCCTTTCATAGAGCAGGTTTGAAACACTCTTTTTGTAGTATCTGGATGTGGACATTTGGATCGCTTTCAGGCCTATGGTGAAAAAGGAAATATCTTCCCATGAAAACTAGACAGAAGCATTCTCAGAAGTTTATTTGTGATGTGTGCCCTCAACTAACAGAGTTGAACCTTTCTTTTGATAGAGCAGTTTTGAAACACTCTTTTTGTAAAATCTGCAAGAGGATATTTGGATAGCTTTGAGGATTTCGTTGCAAACGGGAATGGCTTCATATAAACTCTAGACAGAAGCATTCTCAGAAACTTCGTTGGGATGTTTCGATTGAAGTCCCAGTGTTGAACATTCCCTTTTATAGAGCAGGTTGGAAACACTCTTTCTGCATTCCCTGGAAGTGGACATTTGGAGCGCTTTCAGGACGACGGTGAAAATGGAAATATCTTCCAAGAAAATCTAGATAGAAGCAATGTCAGAAACTTTTATGTGATGGATCTACTCAGCTAACAGAGTTGAACCTTTCTTTTGAGAGAGCAGTTTTGCAACACTCTTTTTGTGGAATATGCAAGTGGATATTAGGGCAGCTTTGAGGATTTCGTTGGAAACGGGAATACATGTAAAAAGCAGACAGCAGCATTCTCAGAAACTTCTTTGTGATGTTTGCATTGAAGTCACAGAGTTGAACATTCCCTTTGAGAGAGCAGGTTTGAAACACGCCTTTTGTCATATCTGGAAGTGTCCATTCGGAGCGCATTCAGGCTTGTGTTGAAAAAGGAAATATCCTCCCATAAAAACTAGACAGAAGCATTCTCAGAAACTTATCTGTGATGTATGTACTCAACTAACAGAACTAAACCATCGTTTTGAAGGAGCAGTTTTGAAACACTCTTTTTGCGGAATCTGCAAGTGGATATTTGGCTAGCTGGGAGGATTTCGTTGGAAACGGGATTACATACAAAAAGCAGACAGCAGCATTCTCAGAAACTTATTTGTGATGTGTGCCCTCAACTGACAGTGTTGAACCTTTGTTTTGATAGAGCAGTTCTGAAACACACTTTTTGTAAAATCTGCAAGAGGATATTTGGATAGCTTTGAGGATTTCGTTGGAAACGGGAATGTCTTCATGTAAACTCTAGACAGAAGCATTCTCAGAAACTGCTTTGGGATGTTTCAATTGAAGTCCCAGTGTTGAACATTCCCTTTCATAGAGCAGGTTTGAAACACTCTTTTTGTACTATCTGGAAGTGGACATTTGGAGCGCTTTCAGGTCTACGGTGAAAAAGGAGATATCTTCCAATAAAAACTAGATAGAAGCAATGTCAGAACTTTTTTCATGATGTATCTACTCAGCTAACAGAGTTGAACCTTTCTTTTGAGAGAGCAGTTTTGAAACACTCTTTTTGTGGAATATGCAAGAGGGTATTAGGCCAGCTTGGAGGATTTCGTTGGAAACGGGAATACGTATAAAAAGCAGACAGCAGCATTGTCAGAAACTACTTTGTGATGTTTGCATTCAAGTCACAGAATTGAACACTCCCTTTCACAGAGCAGGTTTGAAACACTCTTTTTGTAGTGTCTGTAAGTGAACATTTGGATTGCTTTCAGGCCTAAGGTGAAAAAGGAAATATCTTCCCATAAAAACTAGACAGAAGCATTCTCAGAAACTTGTTTGTGATGTGTGCCCTCTACTGACAGAGTTGAACCTTTCTTTGCAAAGAGCAGTTTTGAAACACTCTTTTTGTAGAATCTGCAAGAGGATATTTGGATAGCTTTGAGGATTTCTTGGGAAACGGGAATGTCTTCAGATAAACTCTAGACAGAAGCATTCTCAGAAACTTCTTTGGGATGTTTCAATTGAAGTCACAGTGTTGAACATTCCCTTTCACAGAGCAGGTTTGAAACACTCTTTTTGTAGTGTCTATAAGTGAACATTTGGCGTGCTTTCAGGCGTAACGTGAAAAAGGAAATATCTTCCCATAAAAACCAGACAGAAGCATTCTCAGAAACTTGTTCTTGATGTGTCCCCTCTACTGACAGAGTTGAACCTTTCTTTGCAAAGAGCAGCTTTGAAACACTCTTTTTGTAGAATCTGCAAGAGGATATTTGGATAGCTTGGAGGATTTCGTTGGAAACGGGTATGTCTTCAGATAAACTCTAGACAGAAGCATTCTCAGAAACTTCTTTGGGATGTTGCATTCAAGTCACAGAGTAGAACATTCCCATTCATAGAGCAGATTTGAAACACTCTTTTTGTAGTATCTGGAAGTGGACATTTGGAGCGCTTTCAGGCGTATGTTGAAAAAGGAAATATCTTCCCATAAAAACTAGACGGAAGCATTCTCAGAAACTTACTTGTGATGTGTTTGCTCAACTAACAGAATTGAACCATCGTTTTGAAGGAGCAGTTTTGAAACACTGTTTTCGTGGAATCTGCAAGTGGATATTTGGCTAGCTTTGAGGATTTCGTTGGAAACGGGATTACATATAAAAAGGAGACAGCAGCATTCTCAGAAACTTCTTTGTGATGTCTGCATTCAATTCACAGAGTTGAGCATTCCCTTTCATAGAGCAGGTTGGAAACACTCTTTTTGTAGTATCTGGATGAGGACATTTGGAGCGCTTTCAGGCGTATGGTGAAAAAGGAAATATCTTCCCGTAAAAACTAGACAGAAGCATTCTCAGAAATTTATTTGTGATGTGTGCCCTCAACTAACAGAGTTGAACCTTTCTTTTGATAGAGCAGTTTTGAAACACTCTTTTTGTAAAATCTGCAAGAGGATATTTGGATAGCTTTGAGGATTTCATTGCAAACGGGAATGGCTTCATATAAACTCTAGACAGAAGCATTCTCAGAAACTTCGTTGGGATGTTTCGATTGAAGTCCCAGTGTTGAACATTCCCTTTTATAGAGCAGGTTGGAAACACTCTTTCTGCATTCCCTGGAAGTGGACATTTGGAGCGCTTTCAGGACGACGGTGAAAATGGAAATATCTTCCAAGAAAATCTAGATAGAAGCAACGTCAGAAACTTTTATGTAATGGATCTACTCAGCTAACAGAGTTGAACCTTTCTTTTGAGAGAGCAGTTTTGCAACACTCTTTTTGTGGAATATGCAAGTGGATATTAGGGCAGCTTTGAGGATTTCGTTGGAAACGGGAATACATGTAAAAAGCAGACAGCAGCATTCTCAGAAACTTCTTTGTGATGTTTGCATTGAAGTCACAGAGTTGAACATTCCCTTTGAGAGAGCAGGTTTGAAACACGCCTTTTGTCATATCTGGAAGTGTCCATTCGGAGCGCATTCAGGCTTGTGTTGAAAAAGGAAATATCCTCCCATAAAAACTAGACAGAAGCATTCTCAGAAACTTATCTGTGATGTATGTACTCAACTAACAGAACTAAACCATCGTTTTGAAGGAGCAGTTTTGAAACACTCTTTTTGCGGAATCTGCAAGTGGATATTTGGCTAGCTGGGAGGATTTCGTTGGAAACGGGATTACATACAAAAAGCAGACAGCAGCATTCTCAGAAACTTATTTGTGATGTGTGCCCTCAACTGACAGTGTTGAACCTTTGTTTTGATAGAGCAGTTCTGAAACACACTTTTTGTAAAATCTGCAAGAGGATATTTGGATAGCTTTGAGGATTTCGTTGGAAACGGGAATGTCTTCATGTAAACTCTACACAGAAGCATTCTCAGAAACTGCTTTGGGATGTTTCAATTGAAGTCCCAGTGTTGAACATTCCCATTCATAGAGCAGGTTTGAAACACTCTTTTTGTACTATCTGGAAGTGGACATTTGGAGCGCTTTCAGGTCTACGGTGAAAAAGGAGATATCTTCCAATAAAAACTAGATAGAAGCAATGTCAGAACTTTTTTCATGATGTATCTACTCAGCAAACAGAGTTGAACCTTTCTTTTGAGAGAGCAGTTTTGAAACACTCTTTTTGTGGAATATGCAAGTGGGTATTAGGCCAGCTTGGAGGATTTCGTTGGAAACGGGAATACGTATAAAAAGCAGACAGCAGCATTGTCAGAAACTACTTTGTGATGTTTGCATTCAAGTCACAGAATTGAACACTCCCTTTCACAGAGCAGGTTTGAAACACTCTTTTTGTAGTGTCTGTAAGTGAACATATGGATTGCTTTCAGGCCTAAGGTGAAAAAGGAAATATCTTCCCATAAAAACTAGACAGAAGCATTCTCAGAAACTTGTTTGTGATGTGTGCCCTCTACTGACAGAGTTGAACCTTTCTTTGCAAAGAGCAGTTTTGAAACACTCTTTTTGTAGAATCTGCAAGAGGATATTTGGATAGCTTTGAAGATTTCTTGGGAAACGGGAATGTCTTCAGATAAACTCTAGACAGAAGCATTCTCAGAAACTTCTTTGGGATGTTTCAATTGAAGTCACAGTGTTGAACATTCCCTTTCACAGAGCAGGTTTGAAACACTCTTTTTGTAGTGTCTATAAGTGAACATTTGGCGTGCTTTCAGGCCTAACGTGAAAAAGGAAATATCTTCCCATAAAAACTAGACAGAAGCATTCTCAGAAACTTGTTCTTGATGTGTCCCCTCTACTGACAGAGTTGAACCTTTCTTTGCAAAGAGCAGCTTTGAAACACTCTTTTTGTAGAATCTGCAAGAGGATATTTGGATAGCTTGGAGGATTTCGTTGGAAACGGGTATGTCTTCAGATAAACTCTAGACAGAAGCATTCTCAGAAACTTCTTTGGGATGTTGCATTCAAGTCACAGAGTAGAACATTCCCATTCATAGAGCAGATTTGAAACACTCTTTTTGTAGTATCTGGAAGTGGACATTTGGAGCGCTTTCAGGCCTATGTTGAAAAAGGAAATATCTTCCCATAAAAACTAGACGGAAGCATTCTCAGAAACTTATTTGTGATGTGTTTGCTCAACTAACAGGATTGAACCATCGTTTTGAAGGAGCAGTTTTGAAACACTGTTTTCGTGGAATCTGCAAGTGGATATTTGGCTAGCTTTGAGGATTTCGTTGGAAACGGGATTACATATACAAAGGAGACAGCAGCATTCTCAGAAACTTCTTTGTGATGTCTGCATTCAATTCACAGAGTTGAGCATTCCCTTTCATAGAGCAGGTTGGAAACACTCTTTTTGTAGTATCTGGATGAGGACATTTGGAGCGCTTTCAGGCGTATGGTGAGAAAGGAAATATCTTCCCGTAAAAACTAGACAGAAGCATTCTCAGAAGTTTATTTGTGATGTGTGCCCTCAACTAACAGAGTTGAACCTTTCTTTTGATAGAGCAGTTTTGAAACACTCTTTTTGTAAAATCTGCAAGAGGATATTTGGATAGCTTTGAGGATTTCGTTGCAAACGGGAATGGCTTCATATAAACTCTAGACAGAAGCATTCTCAGAAACTTCGTTGGGATGTTTCGATTGAAGTCCCAGTGTTGAACATTCCCTTTTATAGAGCAGGTTGGAAACACTCTTTCTGCATTCCCTGGAAGTGGACATTTGGAGCGCTTTCAGGACGACGGTGAAAATGGAAATATCTTCCAAGAAAATCTAGATAGAAGCAATGTCAGAAACTTTTCTGTGATGGATCTACTCAGCTAACAGAGTTGAACCTTTCTTTTGAGAGAGCAGTTTTGCAACACTCTTTTTGTGGAATATGCAAGTGGATATTAGGGCAGCTTTGAGGATTTCGTTGGAAACGGGAATACATGTAAAAAGCAGACAGCAGCATTCTCAGAAACTTCTTTGTGATGTTTGCATTGAAGTCACAGAGTTGAACATTCCCTTTGAGAGAGCAGGTTTGAAACACGCCTTTTGTCATATCTGGAAGTGTCCATTCGGAGCGCATTCAGGCTTGTGTTGAAAAAGGAAATATCCTCCCATAAAAACTAGACAGAAGCATTCTCAGAAACTTATCTGTGATGTATGTACTCAACTAACAGAACTAAACCATCGTTTTGAAGGAGCAGTTTTGAAACACTCTTTTTGCGGAATCTGCAAGTGGATATTTGGCTAGCTGGGAGGATTTCGTTGGAAACGGGATTACATACAAAAAGCAGACAGCAGCATTCTCAGAAACTTATTTGTGATGTGTGCCCTCAACTGACAGTGTTGAACCTTTGTTTTGATAGAGCAGTTCTGAAACACACTTTTTGTAAAATCTGCAAGAGGATATTTGGATAGCTTTGAGGATTTCGTTGGAAACGGGAATGTCTTCATGTAAACTCTACACAGAAGCATTCTCAGAAACTGCTTTGGGATGTTTCAATTGAAGTCCCAGTGTTGAACATTCCCTTTCATAGAGCAGGTTTGAAACACTCTTTTTGTACTATCTGGAAGTGGACATTTGGAGCGCTTTCAGGTCTACGGTGAAAAAGGAGATATCTTCCAATAAAAACTAGATAGAAGCAATGTCAGAACTTTTTTCATGATGTATCTACTCAGCTAACAGAGTTGAACCTTTCTTTTGAGAGAGCAGTTTTGAAACACTCTTTTTGTGGAATATGCAAGTGGGTATTAGGCCAGCTTGGAGGATTTCGTTGGAAACGGGAATACGTATAAAAAGCAGACAGCAGCATTGTCAGAAACTACTTTGTGATGTTTGCATTCAAGTCACAGAATTGAACACTCCCTTTCACAGAGCAGGTTTGAAACACTCTTTTTGTAGTGTCTGTAAGTGAACATTTGGATTGCTTTCAGGCCTAAGGTGAAAAAGGAAATATCTTCCCATAAAAACTAGACAGAAGCATTCTCAGAAACTTGTTTGTGATGTGTGCCCTCTACTGACAGAGTTGAACCTTTCTTTGCAAAGAGCAGTTTTGAAACACTCTTTTTGTAGAATCTGCAAGAGGATATTTGGATAGCTTTGAGGATTTCTTGGGAAACGGGAATGTCTTCAGATAAACTCTAGACAGAAGCATTCTCAGAAACTTCTTTGGGATGTTTCAATTGAAGTCACAGTGTTGAACATTCCCTTTCACAGAGCAGGTTTGAAACACTCTTTTTGTAGTGTCTATAATTGAACATTTGGCGTGCTTTCAGGCCTAACGTGAAAAAGGAAATATCTTCCCATAAAAACTAGACAGAAGCATTCTCAGAAACTTGTTCGTGATGTGTGCCCTCTACTGACAGAGTTGAACCTTTCTTTGCAAAGAGCAGCTTTGAAACACTCTTTTTGTAGAATCTGCAAGAGGATATTTGGATAGCTTGGAGGATTTCGTTGGAAACGGGTATGTCTTCAGATAAACTATAGACAGAAGCATTCTCAGAAACTTCTTTGGGATGTTGCATGCAAGTCACAGAGTAGAACATTCCCATTCATAGAGCAGATTTGAAACACTCTTTTTGTAGTATCTGGAAGTGGACATTTGGAGCGCTTTCAGGCCTATGTTGAAAAAGGAAATATCTTCCCATAAAAACTAGACGGAAGCATTCTCAGAAACTTATTTGTGATGTGTTTGCTCAACTAACAGGATTGAACCATCGTTTTGAAGGAGCAGTTTTGAAACACTGTTTTCGTGGAATCTGCAAGTGGATATTTGGCTAGCTTTGAGGATTTCGTTGGAAACGGGATTACATATAAAAAGGAGACAGCAGCATTCTCAGAAACTTCTTTGTGATGTTTGCATTCAAGTCACAGAGTTGAACATTCCCTTTCATAGAGCAGGTTTGAAACACTCTTTTTGTAGTATCTGGATGTGGACATTTGGATCGCTTTCAGGCCTATGGTGAAAAAGGAAATATCTTCCCATGAAAACTAGACAGAAGCATTCTCAGAAGTTTATTTGTGATGTGTGCCCTCAACTAACAGAGTTGAACCTTTCTTTTGATAGAGCAGTTTTGAAACACTCTTTTTGTAAAATCTGCAAGAGGATATTTGGATAGCTTTGAGGATTTCGTTGCAAACGGGAATGGCTTCATATAAACTCTAGACAGAAGCATTCTCAGAAACTTCGTTGGGATGTTTCGATTGAAGTCCCAGTGTTGAACATTCCCTTTTATAGAGCAGGTTGGAAACACTCTTTCTGCATTCCCTGGAAGTGGACATTTGGAGCGCTTTCAGGACGACGGTGAAAATGGAAATATCTTCCAAGAAAATCTAGATAGAAGCAACGTCAGAAACTTTTCTGTGATGGATCTACTCAGCTAACAGAGTTGAACCTTTCTTTTGAGAGAGCAGTTTTGCAACACTCTTTTTGTGGAATATGCAAGTGGATATTAGGGCAGCTTTGAGGATTTCGTTGGAAACGGGAATACATGTAAAAAGCAGACAGCAGCATTCTCAGAAACTTCTTTGTGATGTTTGCATTGAAGTCACAGAGTTGAACATTCCCTTTGAGAGAGCAGGTTTGAAACACGCCTTTTGTCATATCTGGAAGTGTCCATTCGGAGCGCATTCAGGCTTGTGTTGAAAAAGGAAATATCCTCCCATAAAAACTAGACAGAAGCATTCTCAGAAACTTATCTGTGATGTATGTACTCAACTAACAGAACTAAACCATCGTTTTGAAGGAGCAGTTTTGAAACACTCTTTTTGCGGAATCTGCAAGTGGATATTTGGCTAGCTGGGAGGATTTCGTTGGAAACGGGATTACATACAAAAAGCAGACAGCAGCATTCTCAGAAACTTATTTGTGATGTGTGCCCTCAACTGACAGTGTTGAACCTTTGTTTTGATAGAGCAGTTCTGAAACACACTTTTTGTAAAATCTGCAAGAGGATATTTGGATAGCTTTGAGGATTTCGTTGGAAACGGGAATGTCTTCATGTAAACTCTAGACAGAAGCATTCTCAGAAACTGCTTTGGGATGTTTCAATTGAAGTCCCAGTGTTGAACATTCCCTTTCATAGAGCAGGTTTGAAACACTCTTTTTGTACTATCTGGAAGTGGACATTTGGAGCGCTTTCAGGTCTACGGTGAAAAAGGAGATATCTTCCAATAAAAACTAGATAGATAAGCAATGTCAGAACTTTTTTCATGATGTATCTACTCAGCAAACAGAGTTGAACCTTTCTTTTGAGAGAGCAGTTTTGAAACACTCTTTTTGTGGAATATGCAAGTGGGTATTAGGCCAGCTTGGAGGATTTCGTTGGAAACGGGAATACGTATAAAAAGCAGACAGCAGCATTGTCAGAAACTACTTTGTGATGTTTGCATTCAAGTCACAGAATTGAACACTCCCTTTCACAGAGCAGGTTTGAAACACTCTTTTTGTAGTGTCTGTAAGTGAACATTTGGATTGCTTTCAGGCCTAAGGTGAAAAAGGAAATATCTTCCCATAAAAACTAGACAGAAGCATTCTCAGAAACTTGTTTGTGATGTGTGCCCTCTACTGACAGAGTTGAACCTTTCTTTGCAAAGAGCAGTTTTGAAACACTCTTTTTGTAGAATCTGCAAGAGGATATTTGGATAGCTTTGAGGATTTCTTGGGAAACGGGAATGTCTTCAGATAAACTCTAGACAGAAAGCATTCTCAGAAACTTCTTTGGGATGTTTCAATTGAAGTCACAGTGTTGAACATTCCCTTTCACAGAGCAGGTTTGAAACACTCTTTTTGTAGTGTCTATAAGTGAACATTTGGCGTGCTTTCAGGCGTAACGTGAAAAAGGAAATATCTTCCCATAAAAACTAGACAGAAAGCATTCTCAGAAACTTGTTCGTGATGTGTGCCCTCTACTGACAGAGTTGAACCTTTCTTTGCAAAGAGCAGCTTTGAAACACTCTTTTTGTAGAATCTGCAAGAGGATATTTGGATAGCTTTGAGGATTTCGTTGGAAACGGGTATGTCTTCAGATAAACTCTAGACAGAAGCATTCTCAGAAACTTCTTTGGGATGTTGCATTCAAGTCACAGAGTAGAACATTCCCATTCATAGAGCAGATTTGAAACACTCTTTTTGTAGTATCTGGAAGTGGACATTTGGAGCGCTTTCAGGCCTATGTTGAAAAAGGAAATATCTTCCCATAAAAACTAGACGGAAGCATTCTCAGAAACTTATTTGTGATGTGTTTGCTCAACTAACAGGATTGAACCATCGTTTTGAAGGAGCAGTTTTGAAACACTGTTTTCGTGGAATCTGCAAGTGGATATTTGGCTAGCTTTGAGGATTTCGTTGGAAACGGGATTACATATACAAAGGAGACAGCAGCATTCTCAGAAACTTCTTTGTGATGTCTGCATTCAATTCACAGAGTTGAGCATTCCCTTTCATAGAGCAGGTTGGAAACACTCTTTTTGTAGTATCTGGATGAGGACATTTGGAGCGCTTTCAGGCCTATGGTGAAAAAGGAAATATCTTCCCGTAAAAACTAGACAGAAGCATTCTCAGAAATTTATTTGTGATGTGTGCCCTCAACTAACAGAGTTGAACCTTTCTTTTGATAGAGCAGTTTTGAAAGACTCTTTTTGTAAAATCTGCAAGAGGATATTTGGATAGCTTTGAGGATTTCGTTGCAAACGGGAATGGCTTCATATAAACTCTAGACAGAAGCATTCTCAGAAACTTCGTTGGGATGTTTCGATTGAAGTCCCAGTGTTGAACATTCCCTTTTATAGAGCAGGTTGGAAACACTCTTTCTGCATTCCCTGGAAGTGGACAATTGGAGCGCATTCAGGACGACGGTGAAAATGGAAATATCTTCCAAGAAAATCTAGATAGAAGCAACGTCAGAAACTTTTCTGTGATGGAACTACTCAGCTAACAGAGTTGAACCTTTCTTTTGAGAGAGCAGTTTTGCAACACTCTTTTTGTGGAATATGCAAGTGGATATTAAGGCAGCTTTGAGGATTTCGTTGGAAACGGGAATACATGTAAAAAGCAGACAGCAGCATTCTCAGAAACTTCTTTGTGATGTTTGCATTGAAGTCACAGAGTTGAACATTCCCTTTGAGAGAGCAGGTTTGAAACACGCCTTTTGTCATATCTGGAAGTGTCCATTCGGAGCGCATTCAGGCTTGTGTTGAAAAAGGAAATATCCTCCCAGAAAAACTAGACAGAAGCATTCTCAGAAACTTATCTGTGATGTATGTACTCAACTAACAGAACTAAACCATCGTTTTGAAGGAGCAGTTTTGAAACACTCTTTTTGCGGAATCTGCAAGTGGATATTTGGCTAGCTGGGAGGATTTCGTTGGAAACGGGATTACATACAAAAAGCAGACAGCAGCATTCTCAGAAACTTATTTGTGATGTGTGCCCTCAACTGACAGTGTTGAACCTTTGTTTTGATAGAGCAGTTCTGAAACACACTTTTTGTAAAATCTGCAAGAGGATATTTGGATAACTTTGAGGATTTCGTTGGAAACGGGAATGTCTTCATGTAAACTCTAGACAGAAGCATTCTCAGAAACTGCTTTGGGATGTTTCAATTGAAGACCCAGTGTTGAACATTCCCATTCATAGAGCAGGTTTGAAACACTCTTTTTGTACTATCTGGAAGTGGACATTTGGAGCGCTTTCAGGTCTGCGGTGAAAAAGGAGATATCTTCCAATAAAAACTAGATAGAAGCAATGTCAGAACTTTTTTCATGATGTATCTACTCAGCTAACAGAGTTGAACCTTTCTTTTGAGAGAGCAGGTTTGAAACACTCTTTTTGTGGAATATGCAAGTGGGTATTAGGCCAGCTTGGAGGATTTCGTTGGAAACGGGAATACGTATAAAAAGCAGACAGCAGCATTGTCAGAAACTACTTTGTGATGTTTGCATTCAAGTCACAGAATTGAACACTCCCTTTCACAGAGCAGGTTTGAAACACTCTTTTTGTAGTGTCTGTAAGTGAACATATGGATTGCTTTCAGGCCTAAGGTGAAAAAGGAAATATCTTCCCATAAAAACTAGACAGAAAGCATTCTCAGAAACTTGTTTGTGATGTGTGCCCTCTACTGACAGATTTGAACCTTTCTTTGCAAAGAGCAGCTTTGAAACACTCTTTTTGTAGAATCTGCAAGAGGATATTTGGATAGCTTTGAGGATTTCGTTGGAAACGGGTATGTCTTCAGATAAACTCTAGACAGAAGCATTCTCAGAAACTTCTTTGGGATGTTTCAATTGAAGTCACAGTGTTGAACATTCCCTTTCACAGAGCAGGTTTGAAACACTCTTTTTGTAGTGTCTATAAGTGAACATTTGGCGTGCTTTCAGGCCTAACGTGAAAAAGGAAATATCTTCCCATAAAAACTAGACAGAAGCATTCTCAGTAACTTGTTCTTGATGTGTCCCCTCTACTGACAGAGTTGAACCTTTCTTTGCAAAGAGCAGCTTTGAAACACTCTTTTTGTAGAATCTGCAAGAGGATATTTGGATAGCTTGGAGGATTTCGTTGGAAACGGGTATGTCTTCAGATAAACTCTAGACAGAAGCATTCTCAGAAACTTCTTTGGGATGTTGCATTCAAGTCACAGAGTAGAACATTCCCATTCATAGAGCAGATTTGAAACACTCTTTTTGTAGTATCTGGAAGTGGACATTTGGAGCGCTTTCAGGCCTATGTTGAAAAAGGAAATATCTTCCCATAAAAACTAGACGGAAGCATTCTCAGAAACTTAATTGTGATGTGTTTGCTCAACTAACAGGATTGAACCATCGTTTTGAAGGAGCAGTTTTGAAACACTGTTTTCGTGGAATCTGCAAGTGGATATTTGGCTAGCTTTGAGGATTTCGTTGGAAACGGGATTACATATAAAAAGGAGACAGCAGCATTCTCAGAAACTTCTTTGTGATGTCTGCATTCAATTCACAGAGTTGAGCATTCCCTTTCATAGAGCAGGTTGGAAACACTCTTTTTGTAGTATCTGGATGAGGACATTTGGAGCGCTTTCAGGCGTATGGTGAAAAGGGAAATATCTTCCCGTAAAAACTAGACAGAAGCATTCTCAGAAATTTATTTGTGATGTGTGCCCTCAACTAACAGAGTTGAACCTTTCTTTTGATACAGCAGTTTTGAAACACTCTTTTTGTAAAATCTGCAAGAGGATATTTGGATAGCTTTGAGGATTTCGTTGCAAACGGGAATGGCTTCATATAAACTCTAGACAGAAGCATTCTCAGAAACTTCGTTGGGATGTTTCGATTGAAGTCCCAGTGTTGAACATTCCCTTTTATAGAGCAGGTTGGAAACACTCTTTCTGCATTCCCTGGAAGTGGACATTTGGAGCGCTTTCAGGACGACGGTGAAAATGGAAATATCTTCCAAGAAAATCTAGATAGAAGCAACGTCAGAAACTTTTCTGTGATGGATCTACTCAGCTAACAGAGTTGAACCTTTCTTTTGAGAGAGCAGTTTTGCAACACTCTTTTTGTGGAATATGCAAGTGGATATTAGGGCAGCTTTGAGGATTTCGTTGGAAACGGGAATACATGTAAAAAGCAGACAGCAGCATTCTCAGAAACTTCTTTGTGATGTTTGCATTGAAGTCACAGAGTTGAACATTCCCTTTGAGAGAGCAGGTTTGAAACACGCCTTTTGTCATATCTGGAAGTGTCCATTCGGAGCGCATTCAGGCTTGTGTTGAAAAAGGAAATATCCTCCCATAAAAACTAGACAGAAGCATTCTCAGAAACTTATCTGTGATGTATGTACTCAACTAACAGAACTAAACCATCGTTTTGAAGGAGCAGTTTTGAAACACTCTTTTTGCGGAATCTGCAAGTGGATATTTGGCTAGCTGGGAGGATTTCGTTGGAAACGGGATTACATACAAAAAGCAGACAGCAGCATTCTCAGAAACTTATTTGTGATGTGTGCCCTCAACTGACAGTGTTGAACCTTTGTTTTGATAGAGCAGTTCTGAAACACACTTTTTGTAAAATCTGCAAGAGGATATTTGGATAGCTTTGAGGATTTCGTTGGAAACGGGAATGTCTTCATGTAAACTCTACACAGAAGCATTCTCAGAAACTGCTTTGGGATGTTTCAATTGAAGTCCCAGTGTTGAACATTCCCTTTCATAGAGCAGGTTTGAAACACTCTTTTTGTACTATCTGGAAGTGGACATTTGGAGCGCTTTCAGGTCTACGGTGAAAAAGGAGATATCTTCCAATAAAAACTAGATAGAAGCAATGTCAGAACTTTTTTCATGATGTATCTACTCAGCAAACAGAGTTGAACCTTTCTTTTGAGAGAGCAGTTTTGAAACACTCCTTTTGTGGAATATGCAAGTGGGTATTAGGCCAGCTTGGAGGATTTCGTTGGAAACGGGAATACGTATAAAAAGCAGACAGCAGCATTGTCAGAAACTACTTTGTGATGTTTGCATTCAAGTCACAGAACTGAACACTCCCTTTCACAGAGCAGGTTTGAAACACTCTTTTTGTAGTGTCTGTAAGTGAACATTTGGATTGCTTTCAGGCCTAAGGTGAAAAAGGAAATATCTTCCCATAAAAACTAGACAGAAGCATTCTCAGAAACTTGTTTGTGATGTGTGCCCTCTACTGACAGAGTTGAACCTTTCTTTGCAAAGAGCAGTTTTGAAACACTCTTTTTGTAGAATCTGCAAGAGGATATTTGGATAGCTTTGAGGATTTCTTGGGAAACGGGAATGTCTTCAGATAAACTCTAGACAGAAGCATTCTCAGAAACTTCTTTGGGATGTTTCAATTGAAGTCACAGTGTTGAACATTCCCTTTCACAGAGCAGGTTTGAAACACTCTTTTTGTAGTGTCTATAAGTGAACATTTGGCGTGCTTTCAGGCCTAACGTGAAAAAGGAAATATCTTCCCATAAAAACTAGACAGAAGCATTCTCAGAAACTTGTTCGTGATGTGTGCCCTCTACTGACAGAGTTGAACCTTTCTTTGCAAAGAGCAGCTTTGAAACACTCTTTTTGTAGAATCTGCAAGAGGATATTTGGATAGCTTTGAGGATTTCGTTGGAAACGGGTATGTCTTCAGATAAACTCTAGACAGAAGCATTCTCAGAAACTTCTGTGGGATGTTGCATTCAAGTCACAGAGTAGAACATTCCCATTCATAGAGCAGATTTGAAACACTCTTTTTGAAGTATCTGGAAGTGGACATTTGGAGCGCTTTCAGGCCTATGTTGAAAAAGGAAATATCTTCCCATAAAAACTAGACGGAAGCATTCTCAGAAACTTATTTGTGATGTGTTTGCTCAACTAACAGGATTGAACCATCGTTTTGAAGGAGCAGTTTTGAAACACTGTTTTCGTGGAATCTGCAAGTGGATATTTGGCTAGCTTTGAGGATTTCGTTGGAAACGGGATTACATATAAAAAGGAGACAGCAGCATTCTCAGAAACTTCTTTGTGATGTCTGCATTCAAGTCACAGAGTTGAGCATTCCCTTTCATAGAGCAGGTTGGAAACACTCTTTTTGTAGTATCTGGATGAGGACATTTGGAGCGCTTTCAGGCGTATGGTGAAAAAGGAAATATCTTCCCGTAAAAACTAGACAGAAGATTCTCAGAAATTTATTTGTGATGTGTGCCCTCAACTAACAGAGTTGAACCTTTCTTTTGATAGAGCAGTTTTGAAACACTCTTTTTGTAAAATCTGCAAGAGGATATTTGGATAGCTTTGAGGATTTCGTTGCAAACGGGAATGGCTTCATATAAACTCTAGACAGAAGCATTCTCAGAAACTTCGTTGGGATGTTTCGATTGAAGTCCCAGTGTTGAACATTCCCTTTTATAGAGCAGGTTGGAAACACTCTTTCTGCATTCCCTGGAAGTGGACATTTGGAGCGCTTTCAGGACGACGGTGAAAATGGAAATATCTTCCAAGAAAATCTAGATAGAAGCAATGTCAGAAACTTTTATGTGATGGATCTACTCAGCTAACAGAGTTGAACCTTTCTTTTGAGAGAGCAGTTTTGCAACACTCTTTTTGTGGAATATGCAAGTGGATATTAGGGCAGCTTTGAGGATTTCGTTGGAAACGGGAATACATGTAAAAAGCAGACAGCAGCATTCTCAGAAACTTCTTTGTGATGTTTGCATTGAAGTCACAGAGTTGAACATTCCCTTTGAGAGAGCAGGTTTGAAACACGCCTTTTGTCATATCTGGAAGTGTCCATTCGGAGCGCATTCAGGCTTGTGTTGAAAAAGGAAATATCCTCCCATAAAAACTAGACAGAAGCATTCTCAGAAACTTATCTGTGATGTATGTACTCAACTAACAGAACTAAACCATCGTTTTGAAGGAGCAGTTTTGAAACACTCTTTTTGCGGAATCTGCAAGTGGATATTTGGCTAGCTGGGAGGATTTCGTTGGAAACGGGATTACATACAAAAAGCAGACAGCAGCATTCTCAGAAACTTATTTGCGATGTGTGCCCTCAACTGACAGTGTTGAACCTTTGTTTTGATAGAGCAGTTCTGAAACACACTTTTTGTAAAATCTGCAAGAGGATATTTGGATAGCTTTGAGGATTTCGTTGGAAACGGGAATGTCTTCATGTAAACTCTGGACAGAAGCATTCTCAGAAACTGCTTTGGGATGTTTCAATTGAAGTCCCAGTGTTGAACATTCCCTTTCATAGAGCAGGTTTGAAACACTCTTTTTGTACTATCTGGAAGTGGACATTTGGAGCGCTTTCAGGTCTACGGTGAAAAAGGAGATATCTTCCAATAAAAACTAGATAGAAGCAATGTCAGAACTTTTTTCATGATGTATCTACTCAGCAAACAGAGTTGAACCTTACTTTTGAGAGAGCAGTTTTGAAACACTCTTTTTGTGGAATATGCAAGTGGGTATTAGGCCAGCTTGGAGGATTTCGTTGGAAACGGGAATACGTATAAAAAGCAGACAGCAGCATTGTCAGAAACTACTTTGTGATGTTTGCATTCAAGTCACAGAATTGAACACTCCCTTTCACAGAGCAGGTTTGAAACACTCTTTTTGTAGTGTCTGTAAGTGAACATTTGGATTGCTTTCAGGCCTAAGGTGAAAAAGGAAATATCTTCCCATAAAAACTAGACAGAAGCATTCTCAGAAACTTGTTTGTGATGTGTGCCCTCTACTGACAGAGTTGAACCTTTCTTTGCAAAGAGCAGTTTTGAAACACTCTTTTTGTAGAATCTGCAAGAGGATATTTGGATAGCTTTGAAGATTTCTTGGGAAACGGGAATGTCTTCAGATAAACTCTAGACAGAAGCATTCTCAGAAACTTCTTTGGGATGTTTCAATTGAAGTCACAGTGTTGAACATTCCCTTTCACAGAGCAGGTTTGAAACACTCTTTTTGTAGTGTCTATAAGTGAACATTTGGCGTGCTTTCAGGCCTAACGTGAAAAAGGAAATATCTTCCCATAAAAACTAGACAGAAGCATTCTCAGAAACTTGTTTGTGATGTGTGCCCTCTACTGACAGAGTTGAACCTTTCTTTGCAAAGAGCAGCTTTGAAACACTCTTTTTGTAGAATCTGCAAGAGGATATGTGGATAGCTTTGAGGATTTCGTTGGAAACGGGTATGTCTTCAGATAAACTCTAGACAGAAGCATTCTCAGAAACTTCTTTGGGATGTTTCAATTGAAGTCACAGTGTTGAACATTCCCTTTCACAGAGCAGGTTTGAAACACTCTTTTTGTAGTGTCTATAAGTGAACATTTGGCGTGCTTTCAGGCCTAACGTGAAAAAGGAAATATCTTCCCATAAAAGCTAGACAGAAGCATTCTCAGAAACTTGTTCATGATGTGTGCCCTCTACTGACAGAGTTGAACCTTTTTTTGCAAAGAGCAGCTTTGAAACACTCTTTTTGTAGAATCTGCAAGAGGATATTTGGATAGCTTGGAGGATTTCGTTGGAAACGGGTATGTCTTCAGATAAACTCTAGACAGAAGCATTCTCAGAAACTTCTTTGGGATGTTGCATTCAAGTCACAGAGTAGAACATTCCCATTCATAGAGCAGATTTGAAACACTCTTTTTGTAGTATCTGGAAGTGGACATTTGGAGCGCTTTCAGGCCTATGTTGAAAAAGGAAATATCTTCCCATAAAAACTAGACGGAAGCATTCTCAGAAACTTACTTGTGATGTGTTTGCTCAACTAACAGAATTGAACCATCGTTTTGAAGGAGCAGTTTTGAAACACTGTTTTCGTGGAATCTGCAAGTGGATATTTGGCTAGCTTTGAGGATTTCGTTGGAAACGGGATTACATATACAAAGGAGACAGC
>NC_000020.11:28494639-28499358 GCF_000001405.40 Homo sapiens
CACGAAATCCTCCAAGCTGGCCTAATACCCACTTGCATATTCCACAGAAAGAGTGTTTCGAAACTGCTCTCTCAAAAGAAAGGTTCAACTCTGTTTGCTGAGTAGATACATCATGAAAAAAGTTCTGACATTGCTTCTATCTAGTTTTTATTGGAAGATATCTCCTTTTTCACCGTAGACCTGAAAGCGCTCCAAATGTCCACTTCCAGATAGTACAAAAAGAGTGTTTCAAACCTGCTCTATGAAAGGGAATGTTCAACACTGGGACTTCAATTGAAACATCCCAAAGCAGTTTCTGAGAATGCTTCTGTCTAGAGTTTACATGAAGACATTCCCGTTTCCAACGAAATCCTCAAAGCTATCCAAATATCCTCTTGCAGATTTTACAAAAAGTGTGTTTCAGAACTGCTCTATCAAAACAAAGGTTCAACACTGTCAGTTGAGGGCACACATCACAAATAAGTTTCTGAGAATGCTTCTGTCTAGTTTTTATGGGAAGATATTTCCTTTATCACCATACGCCTGAAAGCGATCCAAATGTCCACATCCAGATACTACAAAAAGAGGGTTTCAAACCTGCTCTATGAAAGGGAATGCTCAAATCTGTGACTTGAATGCAAACATCACAAAGAAGTTTCTGAGAATGCTGCTGTCTCCTTTTTATATGTAATCCCTTTTCCAATGAAATCCTCAAAGCTAGCCAAATATCCACTTGCAGATTCCACGAAAACAGTGTTTCAAAACTGCTCCTTCAAAACGATGGTTCAATTCTGTTAGTTGAGCAAACACATCACAAGTAAGTTTCTGAGAATGCTTCCGTCTAGTTTTTATGGGAAGATATTTCCTTTTTCAACATAGGCCTGAAAGCGCTCCAAATGTCCACTTCCAGATACTACAAAAAGAGTGTTTCAAATCTGCTCTATGAATGGGAATGTTCTACTCTGTGACTTGAATGCAACATCCCAAAGAAGTTTCTGGGAATGCTTCTGTCTAGAGTTTATCTGAAGACATACCCGTTTCCAACGAAATCCTCAAAGCTATCCAAATATCCTCTTGCAGATTCTACAAAAAGAGTGTTCCAAAGCTGCTCTTTGCAAAGAAAGGTTCAACTCTGTCAGTAGAGGGCACACATCACAAACAAGTTTCTGAGAATGCTTCTGTCTAGTTTTTATGGGAAGATATTTCCTTTTTCACGTTAGGCCTGAAAGCACGCCAAATGTTCACTTATAGACACTACAAAAAGAGTGTTTCAAACCTGCTCTGTGAAAGGGAATGTTCAACACTGTGACTTCAATTGAAACATCCCAAAGAAGTTTCTGAGAATGCTTCTGTCTAGAGTTTATCTGAAGACATTCCCGTTTCCCAAGAAATACTCAAAGCTATCCAAATATCGTCTTGCAGATTCTACAAAAAGATGGTTTCAAAACTGCTCATTGCAAAGAAAGGTTCAACTCCGTCAGTAGAGGGCACACATCACAAACGAGTTTCTGAGAATGCTTCTGTCAAGTTTTTATGGGAAGATATTTCCTTTTTCACCTTAGCCCTGAAAGCAATCCAAATGTTCACTTACAGACACTACAAAAAGAGTGTTTCAAATCTGCTCTGTGAAAGGGAATGTTGAATTCTGTGACTTGAATGCAAACATCACAAAGAAGTTTCTGACAACGCTGCTGTGTGCTTTTATACGTATTCCCGTTTCCAACGAAATCCTCCAAGCTGACCTAATATCCACTTGCATATTCCACAAAAAGAGTGTTTCAAAACTGCTCTCTCAAAAGAAAGGTTCAACTCTGTTGGCTGAGTAGATACATCATGATAAAGTTTCTGACATTGCTTTTATCTAGTTTTTATTGGAAGATATCTCCTTTTTCACCGTAGACCTGAAAGCGCTCCAAATATCCACTTCCAGATACAACAAAAAGAGTGTTTCAAATCTGCTGTATGAATGGGAATGTTCTACTCTGTGACTTGAATGCAACATCCCAAAGAAGTTTCTGAGAATGCTTCTGTCTAGAGTTTATCTGAAGACATTCCCGTTTCCCAAGAAATCCTCAAATCTATCCAAATATCCTCTTGCAGATTCTACAAAAAGTGGGTTTCAAAACTGCTCTTTGCAATGAAAGGTTCAACTCTGTCAGTAGAGGGCACACATCACACACAAGTTTCTGAGAATGCTACTGTCTAGTTTTTATGGGAAGATATTTCCTTTTTCACCTTAGGCCTGAAAGCAATCCAAATGTTCACTTACAGACACTACAAAAAGAGTGTTTCAAACCTGCTCTGTGAAAGGGAGTGTTCAATTCTGTGACTTGAATGCAAACATCACAAAGTAGTTTCTGACAATGCTGCTGTCTGCTTTTTATACGTATTCCCGTTTCCAACGAAATCCTCCAAGCTGGCCTAATACCCAATTGCATATTGCACAAAAAGAGTGTTTCAAAACTGCTCTCTCAAAAGAAAGGTTCAACTCTGTTGGCTGAGTAGATACATCATGATAAAGTTTCTGACATTGCTTCTATCTAGTTTTTATTGGAAGATATCTGCTTTTTCACCGTAGACCTGAAAGCCCTACAAATGTCCACTTATAGACACTACAAAAAGAGTGTTTCAAACCTGCTCTATGAAAGGGAGTGTTCAACACTGTGACTTCAATTGAAACATCCGAAAGCAGTTTCTGAGAATGCTTCTGTCTAGAGTTTACATGAAGACATTCCCGTTTCCAACGAAATCCTCAAAGCTATCCCAATATCCTCTTGCAGATTTTACAAAAAGTGTGTTTCAGAACTCCTCTATCAAAACAAAGGTTCAACACTGTCAGTTGAGGGCACACATCACAAATAAGTTTCTGGGAATGCTTCTGTCTAGTTTTCATGGGAAGATATTTCCTTTTTCACCATAGGCCTGAAAGCGATCCAAATGTCCACATCCAGATACTACAAAAAGAGTGTTTCAAACCTCTTCTATGAAAGGGAATGTTCAACTCTGTGACTTGAATGCAAACATCACAAAGAACTTCATGAGAATTCTGCTGTCTGCTTTTTATATATAATCCTGTTTCCAACGAAATCCTCCAAGCTAGGCAAATATCCACTTGCAGATTCTGCAAAAAGAGTGTTTCAACACTGCTCCTTCAAAACGATGGTTTAGTTCTGTTAGTTGAGTACATACATCACAAATAAGTTTCTGAGAATGCTTCTGTCTAGAGTTTATATGAAGCCATTCCCGTTTGCAACGAAATCCTCAAAGCTATCCAAATATCCTCTTGCAGATTTTACAAAAAGAGTGTTTCAAAACTGCTCTATCGAAAGAAAGGTTCAACTCGGTTTGTTGATGGCACACATCACAAATAAATTTCTGAGAATGCTTCTGTCTAGTTTTTACGGGAAGATATTTCCTTTTTCACCATACGCCTGAAAGCGCTCCAAATGTCCTCATCCAGATACTACAAATAGAGTGTTTCAAACCTGCTCTATAAAAGGAAATGCTCAACTCTGTGACTTGAATGCAACATCCCAAAGCAGTTTCTGAGAATGCTTCTGTCTAGAGTTTATCTAAAGACATTCCCGTTTCCCAAGAAATACTCAAAGCTATGCAAATATCCTCTTGCAGATTCTACAAAAAGAGGGTTTCAAAACTGCTCTTTGCAAAGAAAGGTTCAACTCTGTCAGTAGAGGGCACACATCACAAACACGTTTTTGATAATTCTTCTGTCTAGTTTTTATGGGAAGATATTTCCTTTTTACGTTAGGCCTGAAAGCACGCCAAATATTCACTTAGAGACACTACAAAAGGAGTGTTTCAAACCTGCTCTGTGAAACGGAATGTTCAACACTGTGACTTCAATTGAAACATCCCAAAGAAGTTTCTGAGAATGCCTCTGTCTAGAGTTTATCTGAAGACATTCCCGTTTCCCAAGAAATACTCAAAGCTATCCAAATATCCTCTTGTAGATTCTACCAAAAGAAGGTTTCAAAACTGCTCTTTGCAAAGAAAGGTTCAACTCTGTCAGTAGAGGGCACACATCACAAACAAGTTTCTGAGAATGCTTCTGTCTAGTTTTTATGGGAAGATATGTCCTTTTTCATGTTAGGCCTGAAATCACGCCAAATGTTCACTTAGAGACAGTACAAAAAGAGTGTTTCAAACCTGCTCTGTGAAAGGGAATGTTCAACACTCTGACTTCAATTGAAACATCCCAAAGAAGTTTCTGAGAATGCTGCTGTCTAGAGTTTATCTGAAGACATTCCCGTTTCCCAAGAAATACTCAAAGCTATCCAAATATCCTCTTGCAGATTCTACAAAAAGATGGTTTCAAAACTGCTCATTGCAAAGAAAGGTTCAACTCCGTCAGTAGAGGGCACACATCACAAAAGAGTTTCTGAGAATGCTTCTGTCAAGTTTTTATGGGAAGATATTTCCTTTTTCACCTTAGCCCTGAAAGCAATCCAAATGTTCACTTACAGACACTACAAAAAGAGTGTTTCAAATCTGCTCTGTGAAAGGGAGTGTTGAATTCTGTGACTTGAATGCAAACATCACAAAGAAGTTTCTGACAATGCTGCTGTGTGCTTTTATACGTATTCCCGTTTCCAACGAAATCCTCCAAGCTGACCTAATATCCACTTGCATATTCCACAAAAAGAGTGATTCAAAACTGCTCTCTCAAAAGAAAGGTTCAACTCTGTTGGCTGAGTAGATACATCATGATAAAGTTCTGAC
>NC_000020.11:28504764-28508897 GCF_000001405.40 Homo sapiens
GGAGCGCTTTGAGGCCTGTGGTCAAAAAGAAATTTCTTCCCATAAAAACTAGACAGAAGCATTCTCAGAAACTTATTTGTGATGTGTGTCCTCAACTGACAGAGTTGAACATTTCTTTTGAGAGAGCAGTTTTGAAACACCTTTTTGTGGAATCTGCAAGTGGATATTTGGCTGGCTTTGACGATTTCCTTGGCAACGTGAATACATATAAAAAGCAGACAGCACCGTTCTGAGAAACTTCTTGGTGATGTTTGCATTAAAGTCACAGAATGGAACGTTCCCTTTCATAGAACAGGTTTGAAACACCACTTTTGTCGTATCTGGAAGTGTCCATTTGGAGCGCATTCAGGCTTGTGTTGAAAAAGTTTATATCTTCAAATAAAAACTAGACAGAAGCATTCTCAGAAACTTGTTTGTGATGTGTGCCCTCTACTAACAGTGTTGAACCTTTCTCTTCATAGAGCAGTTTTGAAACACTCTTTTTGTAGAATCAGCAGGAGGATATTTGCATAGATTTGAAGATATCGTTGGAAACGGGATTGTGTTCAGATAAAATCCAGACAGAAGCATTCTCAGAAACTTCTTCGGGATGTTTGCATTCAAGTCACAGAGGAGAACATGCCCTTTCGTAGAGAAGGTTTGAAACACTCTTTTTATAGTATCTGGAAGTGGACATATGGAGCAGTTTCAAGACAATGTTGAAAAAGGAAATATCTTCTCGTAACAACTGGACAGAAGCATACTCAGAAGCTAGTCTTTCATGTGTGCCCTCACCTAACAGAGTTCAACATTTCTTTAGACAGAACAGTTTTGAAACACTCTTTTTGTGCAGTCTGTAAGTGGATATTTGGCTAGATTTGAGGATTTCGTTGGAAACGGGATTACGTATAAAAAGCAGACAGGAGCATTCTCAGAAACTTCTTTGTGATGTTTGCATTCAAGTCACAGAATTGAACATTCCCTTTCACAGAGCAGTTTTGAAACACTCTTTTTGTAGTGTCTGTAAGTGGACGTTTGGAGCGCTTTCTGGCCTAAGGTGAAAAAGGACATATCTTCCCATAAAAACTAGACAGACGCATTCTCAGAAACTTACTCGTGATGTGTGTCCTCAACTGACAGAGTTGAACATTTCTTTTGAGAGAGCAGTTTTGAAACACTCTTTTTGTGGAATCTGAAGGGGATATTTGGCTGGATTTGACGATTTCGTTGGAAACGGTAATACATATAAAAAGCAGACAGCAGCGTTCTGAGAAACTTCTTGGTGATTTTTGCATTCAAGTCACAGAATGGAACGTTCCCTTTCATAGAACAGGTTTGAAAAACTCCTTTTGTCATCTCTGGAGGTGTCCATTTGGAGCGCACTCAGGCTTGTGTTGAAAAAGGAAATATCTTCCCATAAAAACTAGACAGAAGCATTCTCAGCAACTTGTTTGTGATGTGTGCCCTCGACTAACAGAATTGAAACTTTCTTTTCATAGAGCAGTTTTGAAACACTCTTTTTGTAGAATCTGCAGGAGGATATTTGCATAGCTTTGAGGATTTCCTTGAAACGGGATTGTCTTCAGATAAAATCCAGACAGAAGCATTCTCAGAAACTTCTTTGGGATGTTTGCATTGACGTCACAGAGGAGAACATGCCCTTTCGTAGAGAAGGTTTGAAACACTCTCTTTGCAGTATCTGGAAGTGGAAATTTGAAGCGGTTTCAGGCCTATGTTGAAAAAGGAAATATCTTCCCGTAACAACTGGACAGAAGCATTCTCAGAAGCTAGTCTCTGATGTGTGTCCTCAACTAACAGAGTTGAACATTTCTTTTGACAGAAAAGTTTTGAAACACTCTTTTTGAGGAGTCTGCAAGAGGATATTTGTCTAGATTTGAGGATATCGTTGGAAACGGGTTTACGTGTAAAAAGCAGACAGCAGCATTCTCAGAAACTTCTTTGTGATGTTTGCATTCAAGTCACAGAATTGAACATTCTCTTTCACAGAGCAGCTTTGAAACACTCTTTTTGTAGTGTCTGTAACTGGACTTTTGGAGCGCTTTCCGGACTAAGGTGAAAAAGGACATATCTTCCCATAAAAACTAGACAGAAGCATTGTCAGAAACTTATTCGTGATGTGTGTCCTCAACTGACGGAGTAGAACCTTTCTTTTGATAGAGCAGTTTTGAAACACTCTTTTTGTAGAATCTCCAAGTGGATATTTGGATAGCTTTGAGGATTTCGTTGGAAACGGGAATATCTTCATATAAAATCTAGACAGAAGCATTCTCAGAAACTTCCTTGTGATGGTTGCATTCAAGTCACGGAGTTGAACATTCGCTTTCGTAGAGCAGGTTGATAACACTCTTTTTCAATTCCCTGGAAGTGGACATTTGGAGAGCTTTGAGGCCTATGGTGAAAAAGGAAATATCTTCCCATAAAAACTAGACAGAAGCATTCTCAGAAACTTCTTTGTGATGTGTGTCCTCAACTGACAGAGTTGAAAATGTCTTTTGAGAGAGCAGTTTTCAAACACTCTTTCTGTGGAACCTGCAAGTGGATATTTGGCTGGCTTTGACGATTTCGTTGGAAACGGGAATACATATAAAAAGCAGACAGCAGCGTTCTGAGAAACTACTTGGTGATGTTTGCATTCAAGTCACAGAATGGAACGTTCCCTTTCATAGAACAGGTTTGAAACACGCCTTTTGTCGTATCTGGAAGTGTCCATTTGGAGCGCATTCAGGCTAGTGTTGGAAAAGGAAATATCTTCCCATAAAAACCAGACAGAAGCATTCTCGGCAACTTGTTTGTGATGTTTGCCCTCTACTAACAGGGTCGTACCTTTCTTTTCCTAGAGCAGTTTTGAAACACTCTTTTTGTAGAATCTGCAGGAGCATATTTGCATAGCTTTGAGGATTTCGTTCGAAACGGGATTGTCTTCAGATAAAATCCAGACAGAAGCATTCTCAGAAACTTCTTTGGGTTGTTTGCATTGACGTCACAGAGGAGAACATGCCCTTTCGTAGAGAAGGTTTGAAACACTCTCTTTGCAGTATCTGGAAGTGGACATTTGAAGCGGTTTCAGGCCTATGTTGAAAAAGGAAATATCTTCCCGTAACAACTGGACAGAAGCATTCTCAGAAGCTAGTCTCTGATGTGTGTTCTCAACTAACAGAGTTGAACATTTCTTTGGACAGTACAGTTTTGAAACACTCTTTTTGTGGAGACTGCAAGTGGATACTTGGCTAGATTTGAGGATTTCGTTGGAAACGGGATAAGGTATCAAAAGCAGACAGCAGCATTCTCAGCAACTTCTTTGTGATGTTTGCATTCAAGTCACAGAATTGAACATTCCCTTTCACAGAGCAGGTCTGAAACACTCTTTTTGTAGTGTCTGTAACTGGACTTTTGGGGCGCTTTCCGGACTAAGGTGAAAAAGGACCTATCTTCCCATAAAAACTACACAGAAGCATTGTCAGAAACTTATTCGTGATGTGTGTCCTCAACTGACGGAGTAGAACCTTTCTTTTGATAGAACAGTTTTGAAACACTCTTTTTGTAGAATCTCCAAGTGGATATTTGGATAGCTTTGAGGATTTCGTTGGAAACGGGAATATCTTCATATAAAATCTAGACAGAAGCATTCTCAGAAACTTCCTTGTGATGTTTGCATTCAAGTCACGGAGTTGAACATTCGCTTTCATAGAGTAGGTTGGAAACACTCTTTTTCCATCCCCTGGAAGTGGACATTTGGAGCGCTTTGAGGCCTATGGTGAAAAAGGAAATATCTTCCCATAAAAACTAGACAGAAGCATTCTCAGAAACTTATTTGTGATGTGTGTCCTCAACTGACAGAGTTGAACATGTCTTTTGAGAGAGCAGTTTTGAAACACTCTTTCTGTGGAACCTGCAAGTGGATATTTGGCTGGCTTTGACGATTTCGTTGGAAACGGGAATACATATTAAAAGCAGTCAGCAGTGTTCTGAGAAACTACTTGGTGATGTTTGCATTCAAGTCACAGAAAGGAACGTTCCCTTTCATAGAACAGGTTTGAAACACGCCTTTTGTCGTATCTGGAAGTGGCCATTTGGAGCGCATTCAGGCTAGTGTTGGAAAAGGAAATATCTTCCCATAAAAACCAGACAGAAGC
>NC_000020.11:28508997-28556953 GCF_000001405.40 Homo sapiens
AGCATTTTCAGGAACTTCTTTGTGATGTTTGCATTCAACTCACAGAGTTGAACATTCCCTTTCATACAGCAGTTTTGAAACACTCTTTTGGTAGTATCTGGAAATGGACATTTGGAGCGCTTTGAGGCCTATGGTGAAAAAGGAAATATCCTCACATAAAAACTAGACAGAAGCATTCTCAGAAACTTCTTTGTGATGTGTGTAGTCAACTCACAGAGTTGAACCTTTCTTTTGATAAAGCAGTTTTGAAACACTCTTTTTGTAGGATCTGCAAATGGTTATTTGAGTAGCTTTGAGGCTTTCTTTCGAAATGGGAATATCTTCACATAAAAACTAGACAGAAGCATTCTCAGAAACTTCTTTATGAAGTTTGCATTCAACTCACAGAGTTGAAGTTTCCGTTCCATACAGCAGTTTTGAAACTCTCTTTTTCTAGAATCTGTAAGTGGAAACTTGGAGCGCTTCGAGGCCTATGGTGAAAAAGGGAATATCTTCCCATAAAAAGTAGACAGAAGAATTCTCAGTAACTACTTTGTGATGTGTGTACTCAACTCACAGAGTTGAACTTTTCTTTTGAAAGAGAAGTTTTGAAACACTCTTTTTGTAGAATCTGCAAATGGGTATTTAGCCTGCTTTGAGGCCTTCATTGGAAACGGGAATATCTTCACATAAAACTAGACAGAAGCATTCTCAGAAACTTCGTTGTGATGTGCGCATTCAACTCCCAGAGTTGAAGCTCTCTTTTGATAGAGCAGTTCTGAAACAATCTTTTTGTGGTATCTGGAAGTGGACGTTTGGAGCGATTTGAGGCCTATGGTGAAAAAGGCAATATCTTCACCTAAAAATTAGACAGAAGCATTCTCAGAAACTGCTTTGTGATATGTGTAGTCAACTCACAGATTTGAAACGTGGTTTTGATGCAGCAGTTTTGAAACACTCTTTTTGTTAGAATCTTCAAGTGGATGTTTGGATAGCTTTGAGGCTTTCATTGGAAACGGGAATATCTACACATAAGAACTAGACAGAAGCATTCTCAGAAAGTTCTTTATGAAGTTCGCATTCAACTCACAGAGTTGTACCTTCCTTTTCACACAGCAGTTTTGAGACATTCTTTTTGTAGAATCTGCAAGTGGACATTTGGAGTGATTTGAGACTTAGGGTGAAAAAGGGATATCTTCCCATAAAAAGTTGACAGAAGCATTCTCAGAAACGACTTTCTGATTTGTGTACTCAACTCACAGAGTTAAACCTTTCCTTTGATACAGCAGTTTGGAAACACTCTTCTTGTAGAATTTGCAAGCGGATATAAGGACAGCAGTGAGGAATTCATCGGAAACGGAATATCTTCACATAAAAGTAGACAGAAGCATTCTCAGAAAGTTCTTTGTAATGTGTGCATTCAACTCACAGAGTTGAAACTTTCTTTTGATAGAGCAGATTGGAAGCCCTCTTTTTGTAGAATTTGCAAGTGGATATCTGGACAGCTTTGAGGCCTTCCCTGGAAACGAGTGTATCTTCACATAAACACTAGACAGAAGCATCCTCAGAAACTTGTTGGTGATGCTTGCATTCAACTCACAGAATTGAACATTTCTTTTCCTAGAGCAGTTTTGAAACACTCTTTTTGTAGTATCTGGAATTGGACAGTTGGAGCACTTTGAGGCCTAGGGTGAAAAAGGAAATATCTTCACATAAAAACTAGACAGAAGCATTCTCTGAAACTTCTTGGTTATGTGTGTACTCAACTCACAGAGTTGAACTTATCTTCTCATAGATCAGATTTGAAACCCTCTTTTTGTAGAGTCTGCAAGTGCATATATGGATAGCTTTGAGGATTTCATTGGAAACGGGAATATCTTCCCATAAAAACTAGAAAGAAGCATTCTCAGAAACTTCTTTGTGATGCTTGCATTCAACTCACTGAGTTGAACATTCCCTTTCATACAGCAGTTTTCAAACACTCTTTTTGTAGTATCTGGAAGTGGACCTTTGGAGCGGTTTGAGGCCTAGGGTGAAAAAGGAAATATCCTCACCTAAAAACTAGACAGAAGCATTCTCAGAAACTTCTTTGTGATGTGTGTAGTCAACTCACAGAGTTGAACCTTTCTTTTGATACAGCACTTTTGAAACACTCTTTTTGTAGAATCTGCAAGTGGTTATTTTGATAGCTTTGAGGCTTTGATTGGAAACGGGAATATCTTCACAGAAAAACTAGACAGAAGCATTCTCAGAAAGTTGTTTATGAAGTTTGCATTCAACTCACAGAGTTGAAGTTTCCGTTCCATACAGCAGTTTTGAAACTCTCTTTTTCTAGAATCTGTAAGTGGAAACTTGGAGCGCTTCGAGGCCTATGGTGGAAAAGGGAATATCTTCCCATAAAAAGTAGACAGAAGAATTCTCAGTAACTACTTTGTGATGTGTGTACTCAACTCACAGAGTTGAACTTTTCTTTTGAAAGAGAAGTTTTGAAACACTCTTTTTGTAGAATCTGCAAATGGGTATTTAGCCTGCTTTGAGGCCTTCATTGGAAACGGGAATATCTTCACATAAAACTAGACAGAAGCATTCTCAGAAACTTCGTTGTGATGTGTGCATTCAACTCCCAGAGTTGAAGCTCTCTTTTGATAGAGCAGTTCTGAAACAATCTTTTTGTGGTATCTGGAAGTGGACGTTTGGAGCGATTCGAGGCCTATGGTGAAAAAGGCAATATCTTCACCTAAAAATTCGACAGAAGCATTCTCAGAAACTGCTTTGTGATATGAGTAGTCAACTCACAGATTTGAAACTTGGTTTTGATGCAGCAGTTTTGAAACACTCTTTTTGTTAGAATCTTCAAGTGGATATTTGGATAGCTTTGAGGCTTTCATTGGAAACGGGAATATCTACACATAAGAACTAGACAGAAGCATTCTCAGAAAGTTCTTTATGAAGTTCGCATTCAACTCACAGAGTTGTACCTTCCTTTTCACACAGCAGTTTTGAGACATTCTTTTTGTAGAATCTGCAAGTGGACATTTGGAGTGATTTGAGACTTAGGGTGAAAAAGGGATATCTTCCCATAAAAAGTTGACAGAAGCATTCTCAGAAACGACTTTCTGATTTGTGTACTCAACTCACAGAGTTAAACCTTTCCTTTGATACAGCAGTTTGGAAACACTCTTCTTGTAGAATTTGCAAGCGGATATAAGGACAGCAGTGAGGAATTCATCGGAAACGGAATATCTTCACATAAAAGTAGACAGAAGCATTCTCAGAAAGTTCTTTGTAATGTGTGCATTCAACTCACAGAGTTGAAACTTTCTTTTGATAGAGCAGACTGGAAGCCCTCTTTTTGTAGAATTTGCAAGTGGATATCTGGACAGCTTTGAGGCCTTCCCTGGAAACGAGTGTATCTTCACATAAACACTAGACAGAAGCATCCTCAGAAACTTGTTGGTGATGCTTGCATTCAACTCACAGAATTGAACATTTCTTTTCCTAGAGCAGTTTTGAAACACTCTTTTTGTAGTATCTGGAAGTGGACATTTGGAGCACTTTGAGGCCTAGGGTGAAAAAGGAAATATCTTCACATAAAAACCAGACAGAAGCATTCTCTGAAACTTCTTGGTTATGTGTGTACTCAACTCACAGATTTGAACTTTTCTTCTCATAGATCAGATTTGAAACCCTCTTTTTGTAGTGTCTGCAAGTGCATATTTGGATAGCTTTGAGGATTTCATTGGAAACGGGAATATCTTCCCATAAAAACCAGAAAGAAGCATTCTCAGAAACTTCTTTGTGATGCTTGCATTCAATTCACAGAGTTGAACATTCCCTTTCATACAGCAGTTTTGAAACACTCTTTTTGTAGTATCTGGAAGTGGACCTTTGGAGCGCTTTGAGGCCTAGGGTGAAAAAGGAAATATCCTCACCTAAAAACTAGACAGAAGCATTCTCAGAAACTTCTTTGTGATGTGTGTAGTCAACTCATAGAGTTGAACCTTTGTTTTGATACAGCACTTTTGAAACACTCTTTTTGTAGAATCTGCAAGTGGTTATTTTGATAGCTTTGAGGCTTTGATTGGAAACGGGAATATCTTCACATAAAAACTAGACAGAAGCATTCTCAGAAACTTCTTTATGAAGTTTGCATTCAACTCACAGAGTTGAACTTTCCGTTCCATACAGCAGTTTTGAAACTCTCTTTTTCTAGAATCTGTAAGTGGAAACTTGGAGCGCTTCGAGGCCTATGGTGAAAAAGGGAATATCTTCCCCTAAAAAGTAGACAGAAGAATTCTCAGTAACTATTTGTGATGTGTGTACTCAACTCACGGAGTTGAACTTTTCTTTTGAAAGAGAAGTTTTGAAACACCCTTTTTGTAGAATCTGCAAATGGGTATGTAGCCTGCTTTGAGGCCTTCATTGGAAACGGGAATATCTTCACATAAAACTAGACAGAAGCATTCTCAGAAACTTCGTTGTGATGTGTGCATTCAACTCCCAGAGTTGAACCTCTCTTTTGATAGAGCAGTTCTGAAACAATCTTTTTGTGGTATCCGGAAGTGGACGTTGGGAGCGATTTGAGGCCTATGGTGAAAAAGGCAATATCTTCACCTAAAAACTAGACAGAAGCATTCTCAGAAACTGCTTTGTGATATGTGTAGTCAACTCACGGAGTTGAAACTTTGTTTTGATGCAGCAGTTTTGAGACACTCTTTTGTTAGAAACTTCAAGTGGATATTTGGATAGCTTTGAGGCTTTCATTGGAAACGGGAATATCTACACATAAGAACTAGACAGAAGCATTCTCAGAAAGTTCTTTATGAAGTTCGCATTCAACTCACAGAGTTGTACCTTCCTTTTCACACAGCAGTTTGGAGACATTCTTTTTGTAGATTCTGCAAGTGGACATTTGGAGTGATTTGAGACATAGGGTGAAAAAGGAATATCTTCTCATAAAAAGTAGACAGAAGCATTCTCAGAAACGACGTTCTGATTGGTGTACTCAACTCACAGAGTTAAACCTTTCCTTTGATACAGCAGTTTGGAAACACTCTTCTTGTAGAATTTACAAGCGGATATAAGGACAGCAGTGAGGAATTCATCGGAAACGGAATATCTTCACATAAAAGTAGACAGAAGCATTCTCAGAAAGTCCTTTGTAATGTGTGCATTCAACTCACAGAGTTGAAACTTTCTTTTGATAGAGCAGATTGGAAGCCCTCTTTTTGTAGAATTTGCAAGTGGATATCTGGACAGCTTTGAGGCCTTCCCTGGAAACTAGTGTATCTTCACATAAACACTAGACAGAAGCATCCTCAGAAACTTGTTGGTGATGCTTGCATTCAACTCACAGAATTGAACATTTCTTTTCCTAGAGCAGTTTTGAAACACTCTTTTTGTAGTATCTGGAAGTGGACAGTTGGAGCACTTTGAGGCCTAGGGTGAAAAAGGAAATATCTTCACATAAAAACTAGACAGAAGTATTCTCAGAAACTACTTTGTGATGTGTGTACTCAACTCATGGAGTTGAAATTTTCTTTTGAAAGAGAAGTTTTGAAACACTCTTTTCTTAGAATCTGCAAGTGGATATTTAGCCTGCTTTGATTCCTTCGTTGGAAACGGGAATATCTTCACATAAAAACTAGACAGAAGCATTCTCAGGAAGTTTTTTGTGATGTTTGCATTCAACTCACAGAGTTGAACATTCCCTTTCATACAGCAGTTTTGAAACACTCTTTTGGTAGTATCTGGAAATGGACATTTGGAGCGCTTTGAGGCCTATGGTGAAAAAGGAAATATCCTCACATAAAAACTAGACAGAAGCATTCTCAGAAACTTCTTTGTGATGGGTGTACTCAACTCACATAGTTGAACCTTTCTTTTGATACAGCAGTTTTGAAACACTCTTTTTGTAGCATCTGCAAGTGGATATTTGGATAGCTTTGAGGCTTTCTTTGGAAACGGGAATATCTTCACATAAAAACTACACAGAAGCATTCTCAGAAACTTCTTTATGAAGTTTGCATTCAACTCACAGAGTTGAACTTTCCGTTCCATACAGCAGTTTTGAAACTCTCTTTTTCTAGAATCTGTAAGTGGAAACTTGGAGCGCTTCGAGGCCTATGGTGAAAAAGGGAATATCTTCCCATAAAAAGTAGACAGAAGAATTCTCAGTAACTACTTTGTGATGTGTGTACTCAACTCACAGGGTTGAACTTTTCTTTTGAAAGAGAAGTTTTGAAACACTCTTTTTGTAGAATCTGCAAATGGGTATTTAGCCTGCTTTGAGGCCTTCATTGGAAACGGGAATATCTTCACATAAAACTAGACAGAAGCATTCTCAGAAACTTCGTTGTGATGTGTGCATTCAACTCCCAGAGTTGAAGCTCTCTTTTGATAGAGCAGTTCTGAAACAATCTTTTTGTGGTATCTGGAAGTGGACGTTTGGAGCGATTCGAGGCCTATGGTGAAAAAGGCAATATCTTCACCTAAAAATTCGACAGAAGCATTCTCAGAAACTGCTTTGTGATATGTGTAGTCAACTCACAGATTTGAAACGTGGTTTTGATGCAGCAGTTTTGAAACACTCTTTTTGTTAGAATCTTCAAGTGGATATTTGGATAGCTTTGAGGCTTTCATTGGAAACGGGAATATCTACACATAAGAACTAGACAGAAGCATTCTCAGAAAGTTCTTTATGAAGTTCGCATTCAACTCACAGAGTTGTACCTTCCTTTTCACACAGCAGTTTTGAGACATTCTTTTTGTAGAATCTGCAAGTGGACATTTGGAGTGATTTGAGACTTAGGGTGAAAAAGGGATATCTTCCCATAAAAAGTTGACAGAAGCATTCTCAGAAACGACGTTCTGATTGGTGTACTCAACTCACAGAGTTAAACCTTTCCTTTGATACAGCAGTTTGGAAACACTCTTCTTGTAGAATTTACAAGCGGATATAAGGACAGCAGTGAGGAATTCATCGGAAACGGAATATCTTCACATAAAAGTAGACAGAAGCATTCTCAGAAACTTCTCTGTGATGTGTGCATTCAACACACTGAGTTGAAACTTTCTTTTGATAGAGCAGATTGGAAACACTCTTTTTGTAGAATTTGCAAGTGGATATCTGGACAGCTTTGAGGCCTTTCTTGGAAACGAGTGTATCTTCACAGAAACAAACACTGGAGAGAAGCATCCTCAGAAACTTGTTGGTGATGCTTGCATTCAACTCACAGAATTGAACATTTCTTTTCCTAGAGCAGTTTTGAAACACTCTTTTTGTAGTATCTGGAAGTGGACATTTGGAGCACTTTGAGGCCTAGGGTGAAAAAGGAAATATCTTCACATAAAAACTAGACAGAAGCATTCTCTGAAACTTCTTTGTGATGTGTGTAGTCAACTCACAGAGCTGAACCTTTCTTTTGATACAGCAGTTTGTAACACTCGTTTTGTAGAATCTGCAGGTGGTTATTTGGATAGCTTTGAGGCTTTCATTGGGAACGGGAATATCTTCACATAAAAACTAGACAGAAGCATTCTCAGAAACTTCTTTTATGAAGTTTGCATTCAACTCACAGAGTTGAAGTTTCCGTTCCATAGAGCAGTTTTGAAACTCTCTTTTTCTAGAATCTGTAAGTGGAAACTTGGAGCGCTTCGAGGCCTATGGTGAAAAAGGGAATATCTTCCCATAAAAAGTAGACAGAAGAATTCTCAGTAACTACTTTGTGATGTGTGTACTCAACTCACAGAGTTGAACTTTTCTTTTGAAAGAGAAGTTTTGAAACACTCTTTTTGTAGAATCTCCAAATGGGTATTTAGCCTGCTTTGAGGCCTTCATTGGAAACGGGAATATCTTCACATAAAACTAGACAGAAGCATTCTCAGAAACTTCGTTGTGATGTGTGCATTCAACTCCCAGAGTTGGAGCTCTCTTTTGATAGAGCAGTTCTGAAACAATCTTTTTGTGGTATCTGGAAGTGGACGTTAGGAGCGATTCGAGGCCTATGGTGAAAAAGGCAATATCTTCACCTAAAAATTCGACAGAAGCATTCTCAGAAACTGCTTTGTGATATGAGTAGTCAACTCACAGATTTGAAACTTGGTTTTGATGCAGCAGTTTTGAAACACTCTTTTTGTTAGAATCTTCAAGTGGATATTTGGATAGCTTTGAGGCTTTCATTGGAAACGGGAATATCTACACATAAGAACTAGACAGAAGCATTCTCAGAAAGTTCTTTATGAAGTTCGCATTCAACTCACAGAGTTGTACCTTCCTTTTCACACAGCAGTTTTGAGACATTCTTTTTGTAGAATCTGCAAGTGGACATTTGGAGTGATTTGAGACTTAGGGTGAAAAAGGGATATCTTCCCATAAAAAGTTGACAGAAGCATTCTCAGAAACGACTTTCTGATTTGTGTACTCAACTCACAGAGTTAAACCTTTCCTTTGATACAGCAGTTTGGAAACACTCTTCTTGTAGAATTTACAAGCGGATATAAGGACAGCAGTGAGGAATTCATCGGAAACGGAATATCTTCACATAAAAGTAGACAGAAGCATTCTCAGAAAGTTCTTTGTAATGTGTGCATTCAACTCACAGAGTTGAAACTTTCTTTTGATAGAGCAGATTGGAAGCCCTCTTTTTGTAGAATTTGCAAGTGGATATCTGGACAGCTTTGAGGCCTTCCCTGGAAACGAGTGTATCTTCACATAAACACTAGACAGAAGCATCCTCAGAAACTTGTTGGTGATGCTTGCATTCAACTCACAGAATTGAACATTTCTTTTCCTAGAGCAGTTTTGAAACACTCTTTTTGTAGTATCTGGAAGTGGACAGTTGGAGCACTTTGAGGCCTAGGGTGAAAAAGGAAATATCTTCACATAAAAACTAGACAGAAGCATTCTCTGAAACTTCTTGGTTATGTGTGTACTCAACTCACAGAGTTGAACTTATCTTCTCATAGATCAGATTTGAAACCCTCTTTTTGTAGAGTCTGCAAGTGCATATTTGGATAGCTTTGAGGATTTCATTGGAAACGGGAATATCTTCCCATAAAAACTAGAAAGAAGCATTCTCAGAAACTTCTTTGTGATGCTTGCATTCAACTCACTGAGTTGAACATTCCCTTTCATACAGCAGTTCTCAAACACTCTTTTTGTAGTATCTGGAAGTGGACCTTTGGAGCGCTTTGAGGCCTAGGGTGAAAAAGGAAATATCCTCACCTAAAAACTAGACAGAAGCATTCTCAGAAACTTCTTTGTGATGTGTGTAGTCAACTCACAGAGTTGAACCTTTCTTTTGATACAGCACTTTTGAAACACTCTTTTTGTAGAATCTGCAAGTGGTTATTTGGATAGCTTTGAGGCTTTGATTGGAAACGGGAATATCTTCACATAAAAACTAGACAGAAGCATTCTCAGAAACTTCTTTATGAAGTTTGCATTCAACTCACAGAGTTGAACTTTCCGTTCCATACAGCAGTTTTGAAACTCTCTTTTTCTAGAATCTGTAAGTGGAAACTTGGAGCGCTTCGAGGCCTATGGTGGAAAAGGGAATATCTTCCCATAAAAAGTAGACAGAAGAATTCTCAGTAACTACTTTGTGATGTGTGTACTCAAATCACAGAGTTGAACTTTTCTTTTGAAAGAGAAGTTTTGAAACACTCTTTTTGTAGAATCTGCAAATGGGTATTTAGCCTGCTTTGAGGCCTTCATTGGAAACGGGAATATCTTCACATAAAACTAGACAGAAGCATTCTCAGAAACTTCGTTGTGATGTGTGCATTCAACTCCCAGAGTTGAAGCTCTCTTTTGATAGAGCAGTTCTGAAAGAATCTTTTTGTGGTATCTGGAAGTGGACGTTTGCAGCGATTCGAGGCCTATGGTGAAAAAGGCAATATCTTCACCTAAAAATTAGACAGAAGCATTCTCAGAAACTGCTTTGTGATATGTGTAGTCAACTCACAGATTTGAAACGTGGTTTTGATGCAGCAGTTTTGAAACACTCTTTTTGTTAGAATCTTCAAGTGGATATTTGGATAGCTTTGAGGCTTTCATTGGAAACGGGAATATCTACACATAAGAACTAGACAGAAGCATTCTCAGAAAGTTCTTTATGAAGTTCGCATTCAACTCACAGAGTTGTACCTTCCTTTTCACACAGCAGTTTTGAGACATTCTTTTTGTAGAATCTGCAAGTGGACATTTGGAGTGATTTGAGACTTAGGGTGAAAAAGGGATATCTTCCCATAAAAAGTTGACAGAAGCATTCTCAGAAACGACTTTCTGATTTGTGTACTCAACTCACAGAGTTAAACCTTTCCTTTGATACAGCAGTTTGGAAACACTCTTCTTGTAGAATTTACAAGCGGATATAAGGACAGCAGTGAGGAATTCATCGGAAATGGAATATCTTCACATAAAAGTAGACAGAAGCATTCTCAGAAAGTTCTTTGTAATGTGTGCATTCAACTCACAGAGTTGAAACTTTCTTTTGATAGAGCAGATTGGAAGCCCTCTTTTTGTAGAATTTGCAAGTGGATATCTGGACAGCTTTGAGGCCTTCCCTGGAAACGAGTGTATCTTCACATAAACACTAGACAGAAGCATCCTCAGAAACTTGTTGGTGATGCTTGCATTCAACTCACAGAATTGAACATTTCTTTTCCTAGAGCAGTTTTGAAACACTCTTTTTGTAGTATCTGGAAGTGGACAGTTGGAGCACTTTGAGGCCTAGGGTGAAAAAGGAAATATCTTCACATAAAAACTAGACAGAAGCATTCTCTGAAACTTCTTGGTTATGTGTGTACTCAACTCACAGAGTTGAACTTATCTTCTCATAGATCAGATTTGAAACCCTCTTTTTGTAGAGTCTGCAAGTGCATATTTGGATAGCTTTGAGGATTTCATTGGAAACGGGAATATCTTCCCATAAAAACTAGAAAGAAGCATTCTCAGAAACTTCTTTGTGATGCTTGCATTCAACTCACTGAGTTGAACATTCCCATTCATACAGCAGTTCTCAAACACTCTTTTTGTAGTATCTGGAAGTGGACCTTTGGAGCGCTTTGAGGCCTAGGGTGAAAAAGGAAATATCCTCACCTAAAAACTAGACAGAAGCATTCTCAGAAACTTCTTTGTGAAGTGTGTAGTCAACTCACAGAGTTGAACCTTTCTTTTGATACAGCACTTTTGAAACACTCTTTTTGTAGAATCTGCAAGTGGTTATTTTGATACCTTTGAGGCTTTGATTGGAAACGGGAATATCTTCACATAAAAACTAGACGGAAGCATTCTCAGAAACTTCTTTATGAAGTTTGCATTCAACTCACAGAGTTGAACTTTCCGTTCCATACAGCAGTTTTGAAACTCTCTTTTTCTAGAATCTATAAGTGGAAACTTGGAGCGCTTCGAGGCCTATGGTGAAAAAGGGAATATCTTCCCATAAAAAGTAGACAGAAGAATTCTCAGTAACTATTTGTGATGTGTGTACTCAACTCACGGAGTTGAACTTTTCTTTTGAAAGAGAAGTTTTGAAACACCCTTTTTGTAGAATCTGCAAATGGGTATGTAGCCTGCTTTGAGGCCTTCATTGGAAACGGGAATATCTTCACATAAAACTAGACAGAAGCATTCTCAGAAACTTCGTTGTGATGTGTGCATTCAACTCCCAGAGTTGAACCTCTCTTTTGATAGAGCAGTTCTGAAACAATCTTTTTGTGGTATCCGGAAGTGGACGTTGGGAGCGATTTGAGGCCTATGGTGAAAAAGGCAATATCTTCACCTAAAAACTAGACAGAAGCATTCTCAGAAACTGCTTTGTGATATGTGTAGTCAACTCACAGATTTGAAACTGGGTTTTGATGCAGCAGTTTTGAAACACTCTTTTTGTTAGAATCTTCAAGTGGATATTTGGATAGCTTTGAGGCTTTCATTGGAAACGGGAATATCTACACATAAGAACTAGACAGAAGCATTCTCAGAAAGTTCTTTATGAAGTTCGCATTCAACTCACAGAGTTGTACCTTCCTTTTCACACAGCAGTTTTGAGACATTCTTTTTGTAGAATCTGCAAGTGGACATTTGGAGTGATTTGAGACTTAGGGTGAAAAAGGGATATCTTCCCATAAAAAGTTGACAGAAGCATTCTCAGAAACGACTTTCTGATTTGTGTACTCAACTCACAGAGTTAAACCTTTCCTTTGATACAGCAGTTTGGAAACACTCTTCTTGGAGAATTTACAAGCGGATATAAGGACAGCAGTGAGGAATTCATCGGAAACGGAATATCTTCACATAAAAGTAGACAGAAGCATTCTCAGAAAGTCCTTTGTAATGTGTGCATTCAACTCACAGAGTTGAAACTTTCTTTTGATAGAGCAGATTGGAAGCCCTCTTTTTGTAGAATTTGCAAGTGGATATCTGGACAGCTTTGAGGCCTTCCCTGGAAACTAGTGTATCTTCACATAAACACTAGACAGAAGCATCCTCAGAAACTTGTTGGTGATGCTTGCATTCAACTCACAGAATTGAACATTTCTTTTCCTAGAGCAGTTTTGAAACACTCTTTTTGTAGTATCTGGAAGTGGACAGTTGGAGCACTTTGAGGCCTAGGGTGAAAAAGGAAATATCTTCACATAAAAACTAGACAGAAGCATTCTCTGAAACTTCTTGGTTATGTGTGTACTCAACTCACAGAGTTGAACTTATCTTCTCATAGATCAGAATTGAAACCCTCTTTTTGTAGAGTCTGCAAGTGCATATTTGGATAGCTTTGAGGATTTCATTGGAAACGGGAATATCTTCCCATAAAAACTAGAAAGAAGCATTCTCAGAAACTTCTTTGTGATGCTTGCATTCAACTCACTGAGTTGAACATTCCCTTTCATACAGCAGTTCTCAAACACTCTTTTTGTAGTATCTGGAAGTGGACCTTTGGAGCGCTTTGAGGCCTAGGGTGAAAAAGGAAATATCCTCACCTAAAAACTAGACAGAAGCATTCTCAGAAACTTCTTTGTGATGTGTGTAGTCAACTCACAGAGTTGAACCTTTCTTTTGATACAGCACTTTTGAAACACTCTTTTTGTAGAATCTGCAAGTGGTTATTTGGATAGCTTTGAGGCTTTGATTGGAAACGGGAATATCTTCACATAAAAACTGGACAGAAGCATTCTCAGAAACTTCTTTATGAAGTTTGCATTCAACTCACAGAGTTGAACTTTCCGTTCCATACAGCAGTTTTGAAACTCTCTTTTTCTAGAATCTGTAAGTGGAAACTTGGAGCGCTTCGAGGCCTGTGGTGGAAAAGGGAATATCTTCCCATAAAAAGTAGACAGAAGAATTCTCAGTAACTACTTTGTGATGTGTGTACTCAACTCACAGAGTTGAACTTTTCTTTTGAAAGAGAAGTTTTGAAACACTCTTTTTGTAGAATCTGCAAATGGGTATTTAGCCTGCTTTGAGGCCTTCATTGGAAACGGGAATATCTTCACATAAAACTAGACAGAAGCATTCTCAGAAACTTCGTTGTGATGTGTGCATTCAACTCCCAGAGTTGAAGCTCTCTTTTGATAGAGCAGTTCTGAAACAATCTTTTTGTGGTATCTGGAAGTGGACGTTTGGAGCGATTCGAGGCCTATGGTGAAAAAGGCAATATCTTCACCTAAAAATTAGACAGAAGCATTCTCAGAAACTGCTTTGTGATATGTGTAGTCAACTCACAGATTTGAAACGTGGTTTTGATGCAGCAGTTTTGAAACACTCTTTTTGTTAGAATCTTCAAGTGGATATTTGGATAGCTTTGAGGCTTTCATTGGAAACGGGAATATCTACACATAAGAACTAGACAGAAGCATTCTCAGAAAGTTCTTTATGAAGTTCGCATTCAACTCACAGAGTTGTACCTTCCTTTTCACACAGCAGTTTTGAGACATTCTTTTTGTAGAATCTGCAAGTGGACATTTGGAGTGATTTGAGACATAGGGTGAAAAAGGGATATCTTCCCATAAAAATAGACGGAAGCATTCTCAGAAACGACGTACTGATTTGTGTACTCAACTCACAGAGTTAAACCTTTCCTTTGATACAGCAGTTTGGAAACACTCTTCTTGTAGAATTTACAAGCGGATATAAGGACAGCAGTGAGGAATTCATCGGAAACGGAATATCTTCACATAAAAGTAGACAGAAGCATTCTCAGAAAGTTCTTTGTAATGTGTGCATTCAACTCACAGAGTTGAAACTTTCTTTTGATGGAGCAGATTGGAAGCCCTCTTTTTGTAGAATTTGCAAGTGGATATCTGGACAGCTTTGAGGCCTTCCCTGGAAACGAGTGTATCTTCACATAAACACTAGACAGAAGCATCCTCAGAAACTTGTTGGTGATGCTTGCATTCAACTCACAGAATTGAACATTTCTTTTCCTAGAGCAGTTTTGAAACACTCTTTTTGTAGTATCTGGAAGTGGACAGTTGGAGCACTTTGAGGCCTAGGGTGAAAAAGGAAATATCTTCACATAAAAACTAGACAGAAGCATTCTCTGAAACTTCTTTGTGATGTGTGTACTCAACTCACAGAGTTGAACTTATCTTCTCATAGATGAGATTTGAAACCCTCTTTTTGTAGAGTCTGCAAGTGCATATTTGGATAGCTTTGAGGATTTCATTGGAAACGGGAATATCTTCCCATAAAAACTAGAAAGAAGCATTCTCAGAAACTTCTTTGTGATGCTTGCATTCAACTCACTGAGTTGAACATTCCCTTTCATACAGCAGTTTTCAAACACTCTTTTTGTAGTATCTGGAAGTGGACCTTTGGAGCGCTTTGAGGCCTAGGGTGAAAAAGGAAATATCCTCACCTAAAAACTAGACAGAAGCATTCTCAGAAACTTCTTTGTGATGTGTGTAGTCAACTCACGGAGTTGAACCTTTCTTTTGATACAGCACTTTTGAAACACTCTTTTTGTAGAATCTGCAAGTGGTTATTTGGATAGCTTTGAGGCTTTGATTGGAAACGGGAATATCTTCACAAAAAAACTAGACAGAAGCATTCTCAGAAACTTCTTTATGAAGTTTGCATTCAACTCACAGAGTTGAAGTTTCCATTCCATACAGCAGTTTTGAAACTCTCTTTTTCTAGAATCTGTAAGTGGAAACTTGGAGCGCTTCGAGGCCTATGGTGAAAAAGGGAATATCTTCCCATAAAAAGTAGACAGAAGAATGCTCAGTAACTACTTTGTGATGTGTGTACTCAACTCACAGAGTTGAACTTTTCTTTTGAAAGAGAAGTTTTGAAACACTCTTTTTGTAGAATCTGCAAATGGGTATTTAGCCTGCTTTGAGGCCTTCATTGGAAACGGGAATATCTTCACATAAAACTAGACAGAAGCATTCTCAGAAACTTCGTTGTGATGTGTGCATTCAACTCCCAGAGTTGAAGCTCTCTTTTGATAGAGCAGTTCTGAAACAATCTTTTTGTGGTATCTGGAAGTGGACGTTTGGAGCGATTCGAGGCCTATGGTGAAAAAGGCAATATCTTCACCTAAAAATTAGACAGAAGCATTCTCAGAAACTGCTTTGTGATATGTGTAGTCAACTCACAGATTTGAAACTTGGTTTTGATGCAGCAGTTTTGAAACACTCTTTTTGTTAGAATCTTCAAGTGGATATTTGGATAGCTTTGAGGCTTTCATTGGAAACGGGAATATCTACACATAAGAACTAGACAGAAGCATTCTCAGAAAGTTCTTTATGAAGTTCGCATTCAACTCACAGAGTTGTACCTTCCTTTTCACACAGCAGTTTTGAGACATTCTTTTTGTAGAATCTGCAAGTGGACATTTGGAGTGATTTGAGACTTAGGGTGAAAAAGGGATATCTTCCCATAAAAAGTTGACAGAAGCATCTTCAGAAACGACTTCCTGATTTGTGTACTCAACTCACAGAGTTAAACCTTTCCTTTGATACAGCATTTTGGAAACACTCTTCTTGTAGAATTTACAAGCGGATATAAGGACAGCAGTGAGGATTTCATCGGAAACGGAGTATCTTCACATAAAAGTAGACAGAAGCATTCTCAGAAAGTTCTTTGTAATGTGTGCATTCAACTCACAGAGTTGAAACTTTCTTTTGATAGAGCAGATTGGAAGCCCTCTTTTTGTAGAATTTGCAAGTGGATATCTGGACAGCTTTGAGGCCTTCCCTGGAAACGAGTGTATCTTCACATAAACACTAGACAGAAGCATCCTCAGAAACTTGTTGGTGATGCTTGCATTCAACTCACAGAATTGAACATTTCTTTTCCTAGAGCAGTTTTGAAACACTCTTTTTGTAGTATCTGGAAGTGGACAGTTGGAGCACTTTGAGGCCTAGGGTGAAAAAGGAAATATCTTCACATAAAAACTAGACAGAAGCATTCTCTGAAACTTCTTGGTTATGTGTGTACTCAACTCACAGAGTTGAACTTATCTTCTCATAGATCAGATTTGAAACCCTCTTTTTGTAGAGTCTGCAAGTGCATATTTGGATAGCTTTGAGGATTTCATTGGAAACGGGAATATCTTCCCATAAAAACTAGAAAGAAGCATTCTCATAAACTTCTTTGTGATGCTTGCATTCAACTCACTGAGTTGAACATTCCCTTTCATACAGCAGTTTTCAAACACTCTTTTTGTAGTATCTGGAAGTGGACCTTTGGAGCGCTTTGAGGCCTAGGGTGAAAAAGGAAATATCCTCACCTAAAAACTAGACAGAAGCATTCTCAGAAACTTCTTTGTGATGTGTGTAGTCAACTCACAGAGTTGAACCTTTCTTTTGATACAGCACTTTTGAAACACTCTTTTTGTAGAATCTGCAAGTGGTTATTTGGATAGCTTTGAGGCTTTGATTGGAAACGGGAATATCTTCACAGAAAAACTAGACAGAAGCATTCTCAGAAACTTCCTTATGAAGTTTGCATTCAACTCACAGAGTTGAAGTTTCCGTTCCATACAGCAGTTTTGAAACTCTCTTTTTCTAGAATCTGTAAGTGGAAACTTGGAGCGCTTCGAGGCCTGTGGTGGAAAAGGAAATATCTTCCCATAAAAAGTAGACAGAAGAATTCTCAGTAACTACTTTGTGATGTGTGTACTCAACTCACAGAGTTGAACTTTTCTTTTGAAAGAGAAGTTTTGAAACACTCTTTTTGTAGAATCTGCAAATGGGTATTTAGCCTGCTTTGAGGCCTTCATTGGAAACGGGAATATCTTCACATAAAACTAGACAGAAGCTTTCTCAGAAACTTCGTTGTGATGTGTGCATTCAACTCCCAGAGTTGAACCTCTCTTTTGATAGAGCAGTTCTGAAACAATCTTTTTGTGGTATCTGGAAGTGGACGTTTGGAGCGATTCGAGGCCTATGGTGAAAAAGGCAATATCTTCACCTAAAAATTAGACAGAAGCATTCTCAGAAACTGCTTTGTGATATGTGTAGTCAACTCACAGATTTGAAACTGGGTTTTGATGCAGCAGTTTTGAAACACTCTTTTTGTTAGAATCTTCAAGTGGATATTTGGATAGCTTTGAGGCTTTCATTGGAAACGGGAATATCTACACATAAGAACTAGACAGAAGCATTCTCAGAAAGTTCTTTATGAAGTTCGCATTCAACTCACAGAGTTGTACCTTCCTTTTCACACAGCAGTTTTGAGACATTCTTTTTGTAGAATCTGCAAGTGGACATTTGGAGTGATTTGAGACTTAGGGTGAAAAAGGGATATCTTCCCATAAAAAGTTGACAGAAGCATTCTCAGAAACGACTTTCTGATTTGTGTACTCAACTCACAGTAGTTAAACCTTTCCTTTGATACAGCAGTTTGGAAACACTCTTCTTGTAGAATTTACAAGCGGATATAAGGACAGCAGTGAGGAATTCATCGGAAATGGAATATCTTCACATAAAAGTAGACAGAAGCATTCTCAGAAAGTTCTTTGTAATGTGTGCATTCAACTCACAGAGTTGAAACTTTCTTTTGATAGAGCAGATTGGAAGCCCTCTTTTTGTAGAATTTGCAAGTGGATATCTGGACAGCTTTGAGGCCTTCCCTGGAAACGAGTGTATCTTCACATAAACACTAGACAGAAGCATCCTCAGAAACTTGTTGGTGATGCTTGCATTCAACTCACAGAATTGAACATTTCTTTTCCTAGAGCAGTTTTGAAACACTCTTTTTGTAGTATCTGGAAGTGGACAGTTGGAGCACTTTGAGGCCTAGGGTGAAAAAGGAAATATCTTCACATAAAAACTAGACAGAAGCATTCTCTGAAACTTCTTGGTTATGTGTGTACTCAACTCACAGAGTTGAACTTATCTTCTCATAGATCAGATTTGAAACCCTCTTTTTGTAGAGTCTGCAAGTGCATATTTGGATACCTTTGAGGATTTCATTGGAAACGGGAATATCTTCCCATAAAAACTAGAAAGAAGCATTCTCAGAAACTTCTTTGTGATGCTTGCATTCAACTCACTGAGTTGAACATTCCCTTTCATACAGCAGTTTTCAAACACACTTTTTGTAGTATCTGGAAGTGGACCTTTGGAGCGCTTTGAGGCCTAGGGTGAAAAAGGAAATATCCTCACCTAAAAACTAGACAGAAGCATTCTCAGAAACTTCTTTGTGATGTGTGTAGTCAACTCACAGAGTTGAACCTTTCTTTTGATACAGCACTTTTGAAACACTCTTTTTGTAGAATCTGCAAGTGGTTATTTTGGTAGCTTTGAGGCTTTGATTGGAAACGGGAATATCTTCACAGAAAAACTAGACAGAAGCATTCTCAGAAAGTTGTTTATGAAGTTTGCATTCAACTCACAGAGTTGAAGTTTCCGTTCCATACAGCAGTTTTGAAACTCTCTTTTTCTAGAATCTGTAAGTGGAAACTTGGAGCGCTTCGAGGCCTATGGTGGAAAAGGGAATATCTTCCCACAAAAAGTAGACAGAAGAATTCTCAGTAACTACTTTGTGATGTGTGTACTCAACTCACAGAGTTGAACTTTTCTTTTGAAAGAGAAGTTTTGAAACACTCTTTTTGTAGAATCTGCAAATGGGTATTTAGCCTGCTTTGAGGCCTTCATTGGAAACGGGAATATCTTCACATAAAACTAGACAGAAGCATTCTCAGAAACTTCGTTGTGATGTGTGCATTCAACTCCCAGAGTTGAAGCTCTCTTTTGATAGAGCAGTTCTGAAACAATCTTTTTGTGGTATCTGGAAGTGGACGTTTGGAGCGATTCGAGGCCTATGGTGAAAAAGGCAATATCTTCACCTAGAAATTAGACAGAAGCATTCTCAGAAACTGCTTTGTGATATGTGTAGTCAACTCACAGATTTGAAACGTGGTTTTGATGCAGCAGTTTTGAAACACTCTTTTTGTTAGAATCTTCAAGTGGATATTTGGATAGCTTTGAGGCTTTCATTGGAAACGGGAATATCTACACATAAGAACTAGACAGAAGCATTCTCAGAAAGTTCTTTATGAAGTTCGCATTCAACTCACAGAGTTGTACCTTCCTTTTCACACAGCAGTTTTGAGACATTCTTTTTGTAGAATCTGCAAGTGGACATTTGGAGTGATTTGAGACTTAGGGTGAAAAAGGGATATCTTCCCATAAAAAGTTGACAGAAGCATTCTCAGAAACGACGTACTGATTTGTGTACTCAACTCACAGAGTTAAACCTTTCCTTTGATACAGCAGTTTGGAAACACTCTTCTTGTAGAATTTACAAGCGGATATAAGGACAGCAGTGAGGAATTCATCGGAAACGGAATATCTTCACATAAAAGTAGACAGAAGCATTCTCAGAAAGTTCTTTGTAATGTGTGCATTCAACTCACAGAGTTGAAACTTTCTTTTGATAGAGCAGATTGGAAGCCCTCTTTTTGTAGAATTTGCAAGTGGATATCTGGACAGCTTTGAGGCCTTCCCTGGAAACGAGTGTATCTTCACATAAACACTAGACAGAAGCATCCTCAGAAACTTGTTGGTGATGCTTGCATTCAACTCACAGAATTGAACATTTCTTTTCCTAGAGCAGTTTTGAAACACTCTTTTTGTAGTATCTGGAAGTGGACAGTTGGAGCACTTTGAGGCCTAGGGTGAAAAAGGAAATATCTTCACATAAAAACTAGACAGAAGCATTCTCTGAAACTTCTTGGTTATGTGTGTACTCAACTCACAGAGTTGAACTTATCTTCTCATAGATCAGATTTGAAACCCTCTTTTTGTAGAGTCTGCAAGTGCATATCTGGATAGCTTTGAGGATTTCATTGGAAACGGGAATATCTTCCCATAAAAACTAGAAAGAAGCATTCTCAGAAACTTCTTTGTGATGCTTGCATTCAACTCACTGAGTTGAACATTCCCTTTCATACAGCAGTTCTCAAACACTATTTTTGTAGTATCTGGAAGTGGACCTTTGGAGCGCTTTGAGGCCTAGGGTGAAAAAGGAAATATCCTCACCTAAAAACTAGACAGAAGCATTCTCAGAAACTTCTTTGTGATGTGTGTAGTCAACTCACAGAGTTGAACCTTTCTTTTGAAACAGTTGTTTTGAATCACTCTTTTTGTAGAATCTGCAAGTGGTTATTTGGATAGCTTTGAGGCTTTCTTTGGAAATGGGAATATCTTCACATAAAAACTAGACAGAAGCATTCTCAGAAACTTCTTTATGAAGTTTGCATTCAACTCACAGAGTTGAACATTCCCTTTCATAGAACAGTTTTGAAACACTCTTTTTGTAGAATCTGTAAGTGGAAACTTGGAGTGCTTTAAGGCCTATGGTGGAAAAGGAAATATCTTCCCATAAAAAGTAGACAGAAGAATTCTCAGTAACTACTTTGTGATGTGTGTACTCAACTCACAGAGTTGAACTTTTCTTTTGAAAGAGAAGTTTTGAAACACTCTTTTTGTAGAATCTGCAAATGGGTATTTAGCCTGCTTTGAGGCCTTCATTGGAAACGGGAATATCTTCACATAAAACTAGACAGAAGCATTCTCAGAAACTTCGTTGTGATGTGTGCATTCAACTCCCAGAGTTGAAGCTCTCTTTTGATAGAGCAGTTCTGAAACAATCTTTTTGTGGTATCTGGAAGTGGACGTTTGCAGCGATTCGAGGCCTATGGTGAAAAAGGCAATATCTTCACCTAAAAATTAGACAGAAGCATTCTCAGAAACTGCTTTGTGATATGTGTAGTCAACTCACAGATTTGAAACGTGGTTTTGATGCAGCAGTTTTGAAACACTCTTTTTGTTAGAATCTTCAAGTGGATATTTGGATAGCTTTGAGGCTTTCATTGGAAACGGGAATATCTACACATAAGAACTAGACAGAAGCATTCTCAGAAAGTTCTTTATGAAGTTCGCATTCAACTCACAGAGTTGTACCTTCCTTTTCACACAGCAGTTTTGAGACATTCTTTTTGTAGAATCTGCAAGTGGACATTTGGAGTGATTTGAGACTTAGGGTGAAAAAGGGATATCTTCCCATAAAAAGTTGACAGAAGCATTCTCAGAAACGACTTTCTGATATGTGTACTCAACTCACAGAGTTAAACCTTTCCTTTGATACAGCAGTTTGGAAACACTCTTCTTGGAGAATTTACAAGCGGATATAAGGACAGCAGTGAGGAATTCATCGGAAACGGAATATCTTCACATAAAAGTAGACAGAAGCATTCTCAGAAAGTCCTTTGTAATGTGTGCATTCAACTCACAGAGTTGAAACTTTCTTTTGATAGAGCAGATTGGAAGCCCTCTTTTTGTAGAATTTGCAAGTGGATATCTGGACAGCTTTGAGGCCTTCCCTGGAAACGAGTGTATCTTCACATAAACACTAGACAGAAGCATCCTCAGAAACTTGTTGGTGATGCTTGCATTCAACTCACAGAATTGAACATTTCTTTTCCTAGAGCAGTTTTGAAACACTCTTTTTGTAGTATCTGGAAGTGGACAGTTGGAGCACTTTGAGGCCTAGGGTGAAAAAGGAAATATCTTCACATAAAAACTAGACAGAAGCATTCTCTGAAACTTCTTGGTTATGTGTGTACTCAACTCACAGAGTTGAACTTATCTTCTCATAGATCAGATTTGAAACCCTCTTTTTGTAGAGTCTGCAAGTGCATATTTGGATAGCTTTGAGGATTTCATTGGAAACGGGAATATCTTCCCATAAAAACTAGAAAGAAGCATTCTCAGAAATTTCTTTGTGATGCTTGCATTCAACTCACAGAGTTGAACATTCCCTTTCATACAGCAGTTTGGAAACACTCTTTTTGTAGTGTCTGGAAGTGGACATTTGGAGCGCTTTGAGGCCTAGGGTGAAAAAGGAAATATCCTCACCTAAAAACTAGAGAGAAGCATTCTCAGAAACATCTTTGTGGTGTGTGTAGTCAACTCAGAGAGTTGAACCTTTCTTTTGATACAGCAGTTTTGAAACACTCTTTTTGTAGAATCTGCAAGTGGTTATTTTGATAGCTTTGAGGCTTTCACTGGAAACGGGAATGTCTTCACATAAAAACTAGACAGAAGCATTCTCAGAAACTTCTTTATGAAGTTTGCATTCAACTCACAGAGTTGAACTTTCCGTTCCATACAGCAGTTTTGAAACTCTCTTTTTCTAGAATCTGTAAGTGGAAACTTGGAGCGCTTCGAGGCCTATGGTGAAAAAGGGAATATCTTCCCCTAAAAAGTAGACAGAAGAATTCTCAGTAACTACTTTGTGATGTGTGTACTCAACTCACAGGGTTGAACTTTTCTTTTGAAAGAGAAGTTTTGAAACACTCTTTTTGTAGAATCTGCAAATGGGTATTTAGCCTGCTTTGAGGCCTTCATTGGAAACGGGAATATCTTCACATAAAACTAGACAGAAGCATTCTCAGAAACTTCGTTGTGATGTGTGCATTCAACTCCCAGAGTTGAAGCTCTCTTTTGATAGAGCAGTTCTGAAACAATCTTTTTGTGGTATCTGGAAGTGGACGTTTGGAGCGATTCGAGGCCTATGGTGAAAAGGACAATATCTTCACCTAAAAATTTGACAGAAGCATTCTCAGAAACTGCTTTGTGATATGTGTAGTCAACTCACAGATTTGAAACTTGGTTTTGATGCAGCAGTTTTGAAACACTCTTTTTGTTAGAATCTTCAAGTGGATATTTGGATAGCTTTGAGGCTTTCATTGGAAACGGGAATATCTACACATAAGAACTAGACAGAAGCATTCTCAGAAAGTTCTTTATGAAGTTCGCATTCAACTCACAGAGTTGTACCTTCCTTTTCACACAGCAGTTTTGAGACATTCTTTTTGTAGAATCTGCAAGTGGACATTTGGAGTGATTTGAGACTTAGGGTGAAAAAGGGATATCTTCCCATAAAAAGTTGACAGAAGCATTCTCAGAAACGACGTTCTGATTTGTGTACTCAACTCACAGAGTTAAATCTTTCCTTTGATACAGCAGTTTGGAAACACTCTTCTTGTAGAATTTACAAGCGGATATAAGGACAGCAGTGAGGAATTCATCGGAAACGGAATATCTTCACATAAAAGTAGACAGAAGCATTCTCAGAAAGTTCTTTGTAATGTGTGCATTCAACTCACAGAGTTGAAACTTTCTTTTGATAGAGCAGATTGGAAGCCCTCTTTTTGTAGAATTAACAAGTGGATATCTGGACAGCTTTGAGGCCTTCCCTGGAAACGAGTGTATCTTCACGTAAACACTAGACAGAAGCATCCTCAGAAACTTGTTGGTGATGCTTGCATTCAACTCACAGAATTGAACATTTCTTTTCCTAGAGCAGTTTTGAAACACTCTTTTTGTAGTATCTGGAAGTGGACAGTTGGAGCACTTTGAGGCCTAGGGTGAAAAAGGAAATATCTTCACATAAAAACTAGACAGAAGCATTCTCTGAAACTTCTTGGTTATGTGTGTTCTCAACTCACAGAGTTGAACTTATCTTCTCATAGATCAGATTTGAAACCCTCTTTTTGTAGAGTCTGCAAGTGCATATTTGGATAGCTTTGAGGATTTCATTGGAAACGGGAATATCTTCCCATAAAAACTAGAAAGAAGCATTCTCAGAAACTTCTTTGTGATGCTTGCATTCAACTCACTGAGTTGAACATTCCCTTTCATACAGCAGTTTTCAAACACTCTTTTTGTAGTATCTGGAAGTGGACCTTTGGAGCGCTTTGAGGCCTAGGGTGAAAAAGGAAATATCCTCACCTAAAAACTAGACAGAAGCATTCTCAGAAACTTCTTTGTGATGTGTGTAGTCAACTCACAGAGTTGAACATTTCTTTTGATACAGCACTTTTGAAACACTCTTTTTGTAGAATCTGCAAGTGGTTATTTGGATAGCTTTGAGGCTTTGATTGGAAACGGGAATATCTTCACAGAAAAACAAGACAGAAGCATTCTCAGAAACTTCCTTATGAAGTTTGCATTCAACTCACAGAGTTGAAGTTTCCGTTCCATACAGCAGTTTTGAAACTCTCTTTTTCTAGAATCTGTAAGTGGAAACTTGGAGCGCTTCGAGGCCTGTGGTGGAAAAGGGAATATCTTCCCATAAAAAGTAGACAGAAGAATTCTCAGTAACTACTTTGTGATGTGTGTACTCAACTCACAGAGTTGAACTTTTCTTTTGAAAGAGAAGTTTTGAAACACTCTTTTTGTAGAATCTGCAAATGGGTATTTAGCCTGCTTTGAGGCCTTCATTGGAAACGGGAATATCTTCACATAAAACTAGACAGAAACATTCTCAGAAACTTCGTTGTGATGTGTGCATTCAACTCACCGAGTTGAACCTTTCTTTTGATAGAGCAGTTCTGAAACACTCTTTTTGTAGTATCTGGAAGTGGACATTAGGAGTGCTTCGAGGCCTATGGTGAAAAAGGAAATATCTTCACATAAAAACTAGACAGAAGCATTCTCAGAAACTGCTTTGTGATATGTGTAGTCAACTCACAGATTTGAAACGTGGTTTTGATGCAGCAGTTTTGAAACACTCTTTTTGTTAGAATCTTCAAGTGGATATTTGGATAGCTTTGAGGCTTTCATTGGAAACGGGAATATCTACACATAAGAACTAGACAGAAGCATTCTCAGAAAGTTCTTTATGAAGTTCGCATTCAACTCACAGAGTTGTACCTTCCTTTTCACACAGCAGTTTTGAGACATTCTTTTTGTAGAATCTGCAAGTGGACATTTGGAGTGATTTGAGACTTAGGGTGAAAAAGGGATATCTTCCCATAAAAAGTTGACAGAAGCATTCTCAGAAACGACTTTCTGATTTGTGTACTCAACTCACAGAGTTAAACCTTTCCTTTGATACAGCAGTTTGGAAACACTCTTCTTGTAGAATTTGCAAGCGGATATAAGGACAGCAGTGAGGAATTCATCGGAAACGGAATATCTTCACATAAAAGTAGACAGAAGCATTCTCAGAAAGTTCTGTGTAATGTGTGCATTCAACTCACAGAGTTGAAACTTTCTTTTGATAGAGCAGATTGGAATCCCTCTTTTTGTAGAATTTGCAAGTGGATATCTAGACAGCTTTGAGGCCTTCCCTGGAAACGAGTGTATCTTCACATAAACACTAGACAGAAGCATCCTCAGAAACTTGTTGGTGATGCTTGCATTCAACTCACAGAATTGAACATTTCTTTTCCTAGAGCAGTTTTGAAACACTCTTTTTGTAGTATCTGGAAGTGGACATTTGGAGCACTTTGAGGCCTAGGGTGAAAAAGGAAATATCTTCACATAAAAACTAGACAGAAGCATTCTCAGAAACTTCTTTGTGATGTGTGTAGTCAACTCACAGAGTTGAACATTTCTTTTGATACAGCACTTTTGAAACACTCTTTTTGTAGAATCTGCAAGTGGTTATTTGGATAGCTTTGAGGCTTTGATTGGAAACGGGAATATCTTCACATAAAAACTAGACAGAAAGCATTCTCAGAAACTTCCTTATGAAGTTTGCATTCAACTCACAGAGTTGAAGTTTCCGTTCCATACAGCAGTTTTGAAACTCTCTTTTTCTAGAATCTGTAAGTGGAAACTTGGAGCGCTTCGAGGCCTGTGGTGGAAAAGGGAATATCTTCCCATAAAAAGTAGACAGAAGAATGCTCAGTAACTACTTTGTGATGTGTGTACTCAACTCACAGAGTTGAACTTTTCTTTTGAAAGAGAAGTTTTGAAACACTCTTTTTGTAGAATCTCCAAATGGGTATTTAGCCTGCTTTGAGGCCTTCATTGGAAACGGGAATATCTTCACATAAAACTAGACAGAAGCATTCTCAGAAACTTCGTTGTGATGTGTGCATTCAACTCCCAGAGTTGAAGCTCTCTTTTGATAGAGCAGTTCTGAAACAATCTTTTTGTGGTATCTGGAAGTGGACGTTTGGAGCGATTCGAGGCCTATGGTGAAAAAGGCAATATCTTCACCTAAAAATTAGACAGAAGCATTCTCAGAAACTGCTTTGTGATATGTGTAGTCAACTCACAGATTTGAAACGTGGTTTTGATGCAGCAGTTTTGAAACACTCTTTTTGTTAGAATCTTCAAGTGGATATTTGGATAGCTTTGAGGCTTTCATTGGAAACGGGAATATCTACACATAAGAACTAGACAGAAGCATTCTCAGAAAGTTCTTTATGAAGTTCGCATTCAACTCACAGAGTTGTACCTTCCTTTTCACACAGCAGTTTTGAGACATTCTTTTTGTAGAATCTGCAAGTGGACATTTGGAGTGATTTGAGACTTAGGGTGAAAAAGGGATATCTTCCCATAAAAAGTTGACGGAAGCATTCTCAGAAACGACGTTCTGATTTGTGTACTCAACTCACAGAGTTAAACCTTTCCTTTGATACAGCAGTTTGGAAACACTCTTCTTGTAGAATTTACAAGCGGATATAAGGACAGCAGTGAGGAATTCATCGGAAACGGAATATCTTCACATAAAAGTAGACAGAAGCATTCTCAGAAAGTTCTTTGTAATGTGTGCATTCAACTCACAGAGTTGAAACTTTCTTTTGATGGAGCAGATTGGAAGCCCTCTTTTTGTAGAATTTGCAAGTGGATATCTGGACAGCTTTGAGGCCTTCCCTGGAAACGAGTGTATCTTCACATAAACACTAGACAGAAGCATCCTCAGAAACTTGTTGGTGATGCTTGCATTCACCTCACAGAATTGAACATTTCTTTTCCTAGAGCAGTTTTGAAATACTCTTTTTGTAGTATCTGGAAGTGGACAGTTGGAGCACTTTGAGGCCTAGGGTGAAAAAGGAAATATCTTCACATAAAAACTAGACAGAAGCATTCTCTGAAACTTCTTGGTAATGTGTGTACTCAACTCACAGAGTCGAACTTATCTTCTCATAGATCAGATTTGAAACCCTCTTTTTGTAGAGTCTGCAAGTGCATATTTGGATAGCTTTGAGGATTTCATTGGAAACGGGAATATCTTCCCATAAAAACTAGAAAGAAGCATTCTCAGAAACTTCTTTGTGATGCTTGCATTCAACTCACTGAGTTGAACATTCCCTTTCATACAGCAGTTTTCAAACACTCTTTTTGTAGTATCTGGAAGTGGACCTTTGGAGCGCTTTGAGGCCTAGGGTGAAAAAGGAAATATCCTCACCTAAAAACTAGACAGAAGCATTCTCAGAAACTTCTTTGTGAAGTGTGTAGTCAACTCACAGAGTTGAACCTTTCTTTTGATACAGCACTTTTGAAACACTCTTTTTGTAGAATCTGCAAGTGGTTATTTTGATACCTTTGAGGCTTTGATTGGAAACGGGAATATCTTCACATAAAAACTAGACAGAAGCATTCTCAGAAATTTCTTTATGAAGTTTGCATTCAACTCACAGAGTTGAAGTTTCCGTTCCATACAGCAGTTTTGAAACTCTCTTTTTCTAGAATCTGTAAATGGAAACTTGGAGCGCTTCGAGGCCTATGGTGGAAAAGGGAATATCTTCCCATAAAAAGTAGACAGAAGAATTCTCAGTAACTACATTGTGATGTGTGTACTCAACTCACAGAGTCGAACTTTTCTTTTGAAAGAGAAGTTTTGAAACACTCTTTTTGTAGAATCTGCAAATGGGTATTTAGCCTGCTTTGAGGCCTTCATTGGAAACGGGAATATCTTCACATAAAACTAGACAGAAGCATTCTCAGAAACTTCGTTGTGATGTGTGCATTCAACTCCCAGAGTTGAAGCTCTCTTTTGATAGAGCAGTTCTGAAACAATCTTTTTGTGGTATCTGGAAGTGGACGTTTGGAGCGATTCGAGGCCTATGGTGAAAAAGGCAATATCTTCACCTAAAAATTAGACAGAAGCATTCTCAGAAACTGCTTTGTGATATGTGTAGTCAACTCACGGATTTGAAACGTGGTTTTGATGCAGCAGTTTTGAAACACTCTTTTTGTTAGAATCTTCAAGTGGATATTTGGATAGCTTTGAGGCTTTCATTGGAAACGGGAATATCTACACATAAGAACTAGACAGAAGCATTCTCAGAAAGTTCTTTATGAAGTTCGCATTCAACTCACAGAGTTGTACCTTCCTTTTCACACAGCAGTTTTGAGACATTCTTTTTGTAGAATCTGCAAGTGGACATTTGGAGTGATTTGAGACTTAGGGTGAAAAAGGGATATCTTCCCATAAAAAGTTGACAGAAGCATTCTCAGAAACGACTTTCTGATTTGTGTACTCAACTCACAGAGTTAAACCTTTCCTTTGATACAGCAGTTTGGAAACACTCTTCTTGTAGAATTTGCAAGCGGATATAAGGACAGCAGTGAGGAATTCATCGGAAACGGAATATCTTCACATAAAAGTAGACAGAAGCATTCTCAGAAAGTTCTTTGTAATGTGTGCATTCAACTCACAGAGTTGAAACTTTCTTTTGATGGAGCAGATTGGAAGCCCTCTTTTTGTAGAATTTGCAAGTGGATATCTGGACAGCTTTGAGGCCTTCCCTGGAAACGAGTGTATCTTCACATAAACACTAGACAGAAGCATCCTCAGAAACTTGTTGGTGATGCTTGCATTCAACTCACAGAATTGAACATTTCTTTTCCTAGAGCAGTTTTGAAACACTCTTTTTGTAGTATCTGGAAGTGGACAGTTGGAGCACTTTGAGGCCTAGGGTGAAAAAGGAAATATCTTCACATAAAAACTAGACAGAAGCATTCTCTGAAACTTCTTGGTTATGTGTGTACTCAACTCACAGAGTTGAACTTATCTTCTCATAGATCAGATTTGAAACCCTCTTTTTGTAGAGTCTGCAAGTGCATATTTGGATAGCTTTGAGGATTTCATTGGAAACGGGAATATCTTCCCATAAAAACTAGAAAGAAGCATTCTCAGAAACTTCTTTGTGATGCTTGCATTCAACTCACTGAGTTGAACATTCCCTTTCATACAGCAGTTTTCAAACACTCTTTTTGTAGTATCTGGAAGTGGACCTTTGGAGCGCTTTGAGGCCTAGGGTGAAAAAGGAAATATCCTCACCTAAAAGCTAGACAGAAGCATTCTCAGAAACTTCTTTGTGATGTCTGTAGTCAACTCACAGAGTTGAACCTTTCTTTTGATACAGCACTTTTGAAACACTCTTTTTGTAGAATCTGCAAGTGGTTATTTTGATAGCTTTGAGGCTTTGATTGGAAACGGGAATATCTTCACATAAAAACTAGACAGAAGCATTCTCAGAAAGTTGTTTATGAAGTTTGCATTCAACTCACAGAGTTGAAGTTTCCGTTCCATACAGCAGTTTTGAAACTCTCTTTTTCTAGAATCTGTAAGTGGAAACTTGGAGCGCTTCGAGGCCTATGGTGGAAAAGGGAATATCTTCCCACAAAAAGTAGACAGAAGAATTCTCAGTAACTACATTGTGATGTGTGTACTCAACTCACAGAGTTGAACTTTTCTTTTGAAAGAGAAGTTTTGAAACACTCTTTTTGTAGAATCTGCAAATGGGTATTTAGCCTGCTTTGAGGCCTTCATTGGAAACGGGAATATCTTCACATAAAACTAGACAGAAGCATTCTCAGAAACTTCGTTGTGATGTGTGCATTCAACTCCCAGAGTTGAAGCTCTCTTTTGATAGAGCAGTTCTGAAACAATCTTTTTGTGGTATCTGGAAGTGGACGTTTGGAGCGATTCGAGGCCTATGGTGAAAAAGGCAATATCTTCACCTAAAAATTAGACAGAAGCATTCTCAGAAACTGCTTTGTGATATGTGTAGTCAACTCACGGATTTGAAACGTGGTTTTGATGCAGCAGTTTTGAAACACTCTTTTTGTTAGAATCTTCAAGTGGATATTTGGATAGCTTTGAGGCTTTCATTGGAAACGGGAATATCTACACATAAGAACTAGACAGAAGCATTCTCAGAAAGTTCTTTATGAAGTTCGCATTCAACTCACAGAGTTGTACCTTCCTTTTCACACAGCAGTTTTGAGACATTCTTTTTGTAGAATCTGCAAGTGGACATTTGGAGTGATTTGAGACATAGGGTGAAAAAGGGATATCTTCCAATAAAAATAGACGGAAGCATTCTCAGAAACGACGTACTGATTTGTGTACTCAACTCACAGAGTTAAACCTTTCCTTTGATACAGCAGTTTGGAAACACTCTTCTTGTAGAATTTACAAGCGGATATAAGGACAGCAGTGAGGAATTCATCGGAAACGGAATATCTTCACATAAAAGTAGACAGAAGCATTCTCAGAAAGTTCTTTGTAATGTGTGCATTCAACTCACAGAGTTGAAACTTTCTTTTGATGGAGCAGATTGGAAGCCCTCTTTTTGTAGAATTTGCAAGTGGATATCTGGACAGCTTTGAGGCCTTCCCTGGAAACGAGTGTATCTTCACATAAACACTAGACAGAAGCATCCTCAGAAACTTGTTGGTGATGCTTGCATTCAACTCACAGAATTGAACATTTCTTTTCCTAGAGCAGTTTTGAAACACTCTTTTTGTAGTATCTGGAAGTGGACAGTTGGAGCACTTTGAGGCCTAGGGTGAAAAAGGAAATATCTTCACATAAAAACTAGACAGAAGCATTCTCTGAAACTTCTTGGTTATGTGTGTACTCAACTCACAGAGTTGAACTTATCTTCTCATAGATCAGATTTGAAACCCTCTTTTTGTAGAGTCTGCAAGTGCATATTTGGATAGCTTTGAGGATTTCATTGGAAACGGGAATATCTTCCCATAAAAACTAGAAAGAAGCATTCTCAGAAACTTCTTTGTGATGCTTGCATTCAGCTCACTGAGTTGAACATTCCCTTTCATACAGCAGTTTTCAAACACTCTTTTTGTAGTATCTGGAAGTGGACCTTTGGAGCGCTTTGAGGCCTAGGGTGAAAAAGGAAATATCCTCACCTAAAAACTAGACAGAAGCATTCTCAGAAACTTCTTTGTGATGTGTGTAGTCAACTCACAGTAGTTGAACCTTTCTTTTGATACAGCACTTTTGAAACACTCTTTTTGTAGAATCTGCAAGTGGTTATTTGGATAGCTTTGAGGCTTTGATTGGAAACGGGAATATCTTCACAGAAAAACTAGACAGAAGCATTCTCAGAAACTTCTTTATGAAGTTTGCATTCAACTCACAGAGTTGAAGTTTCCGTTCCATAGAGCAGTTTTGAAACTCTCTTTTTCTAGAATCTGTAAGTGGAAACTTGGAGCGCTTCGAGGCCTATGGTGAAAAAGGGAATATCTTCCCATAAAAAGTAGACAGAAGAATTCTCAGTAACTACTTTGTGATGTGTGTACTCAACTCACAGAGTTGAACTTTTCTTTTGAAAGAGAAGTTTTGAAACACTCTTTTTGTAGAATCTCCAAATGGGTATTTAGCCTGCTTTGAGGCCTTCATTGGAAACGGGAATATCTTCACATAAAACTAGACAGAAGCATTCTCAGAAACTTCGTTGTGATGTGTGCATTCAACTCCCAGAGTTGGAGCTCTCTTTTGATAGAGCAGTTCTGAAACAATCTTTTTGTGGTATCTGGAAGTGGACGTTAGGAGCGATTCGAGGCCTATGGTGAAAAAGGCAATATCTTCACCTAAAAATTCGACAGAAGCATTCTCAGAAACTGCTTTGTGATATGTGTAGTCAACTCACAGATTTGAAACGTGGTTTTGATGCAGCAGTTTTGAAACACTCTTTTTGTTAGAATCTTCAAGTGGATATTTGGATAGCTTTGAGGCTTTCATTGGAAACGGGAATATCTACACATAAGAACTAGACAGAAGCATTCTCAGAAAGTTCTTTATGAAGTTCGCATTCAACTCACAGAGTTGTACCTTCCTTTTCACACAGCAGTTTTGAGACATTCTTTTTGTAGAATCTGCAAGTGGACATTTGGAGTGATTTGAGACATAGGGTGAAAAAGGGATATCTTCCAATAAAAATAGACGGAAGCATTCTCAGAAACGACGTACTGATTTGTGTACTCAACTCACAGAGTTAAACCTTTCCTTTGATACAGCAGTTTGGAAACACTCTTCTTGTAGAATTTACAAGCGGATATAAGGACAGCAGTGAGGAATTCATCGGAAACGGAATATCTTCACATAAAAGTAGACAGAAGCATTCTCAGAAAGTTCTGTGTAATGTGTGCATTCAACTCACAGAGTTGAAACTTTCTTTTGATAGAGCAGATAGGAATCCCTCTTTTTGTAGAATTTGCAAGTGGATATCTAGACAGCTTTGAGGCCTTCCCTGGAAACGAGTGTATCTTCACATAAACACTAGACAGAAGCATCCTCAGAAACTTGTTGGTGATGCTTGCATTCAACTCACAGAATTGAACATTTCTTTTCCTAGAGCAGTTTTGAAACACTCTTTTTGTAGTATCTGGAAGTGGACAGTTGGAGCACTTTGAGGCCTAGGGTGAAAAAGGAAATATCTTCACATAAAAACTAGACAGAAGCATTCTCTGAAACTTCTTGGTTATGTGTGTACTCAACTCACAGAGTTGAACTTATCTTCTCATAGATCAGATTTGAAACCCTCTTTTTGTAGAGTCTGCAAGTGCATATTTGGATAGCTTTGAGGATTTCATTGGAAACGGGAATATCTTCCCATAAAAACTAGAAAGAAGCATTCTCAGAAACTACTTTGTGATGTTTGCATTCAACTCACCGAGTTGAACATTCCTTTTCATAGAGGAGTTTTGAAACTTTCCTTTTGTATTATCTGCAAGTGGACATATTGAGCGATTTGACTCCTATGGTGAAAGAGGAAATATCTTCACATGAAAAGTAGAGAGAAGCATTCTCAGAAACTTCTTTGTGATGTGTGTAGTCAACTCACAGAGTTGAACCTTTCTTTTGATACAGCACTTTTGAAACACTCTTTTTGTAGAATCTGCAAGTGGTTATTTGGATAGCTTTGAGGCTTTGATTGGAAACGGGAATATCTTCACAAAAAAACTAGACAGAAGCATTCTCAGAAACTTCTTTATGAAGTTTGCATTCAACTCACAGAGTTGAAGTTTCCGTTCCATACAGCAGTTTTGAAACTCTCTTTTTCTAGAATCTGTAAGTGGAAACTTGGAGCGCTTCGAGGCCTATGGTGAAAAAGGGAATATCTTCCCATAAAAAGTAGACAGAAGAATGCTCAGTAACTACTTTGTGATGTGTGTACTCAACTCACAGAGTTGAACTTTTCTTTTGAAAGAGAAGTTTTGAAACACTCTTTTTGTAGAATCTCCAAATGGGTATTTAGCCTGCTTTGAGGCCTTCATTGGAAACGGGAATATCTTCACATAAAACTAGACAGAAGCTTTCTCAGAAACTTCGTTGTGATGTGTGCATTCAACTCCCAGAGTTGAACCTCTCTTTTGATAGAGCAGTTCTGAAACAATCTTTTTGTGGTATCTGGAAGTGGACGTTTGGAGCGATTCGAGGCCTATGGTGAAAAAGGCAATATCTTCACCTAAAAATTAGACAGAAGCATTCTCAGAAACTGCTTTGTGATATGTGTAGTCAACTCACAGATTTGAAACGTGGTTTTGATGCAGCAGTTTTGAAACACTCTTTTTGTTAGAATCTTCAAGTGGATATTTGGATAGCTTTGAGGCTTTCATTGGAAACGGGAATATCTACACATAAGAACTAGACAGAAGCATTCTCAGAAAGTTCTTTATGAAGTTCGCATTCAACTCACAGAGTTGTACCTTCCTTTTCACACAGCAGTTTTGAGACATTCTTTTTGTAGAATCTGCAAGTGGACATTTGGAGTGATTTGAGACATAGGGTGAAAAAGGGATATCTTCCCATAAAAATAGACGGAAGCATTCTCAGAAACGACGTTCTGATTTGTGTACTCAACTCACAGAGTTAAACCTTTCCTTTGATACAGCAGTTTGGAAACACTCTTCTTGTAGAATTTACAAGCGGATATAAGGACAGCAGTGAGGAATTCATCGGAAATGGAATATCTTCACATAAAAGTAGACAGAAGCATTCTCAGAAAGTTCTTTGTAATGTGTGCATTCAACTCACAGAGTTGAAACTTTCTTTTGATGGAGCAGATTGGAAGCCCTCTTTTTGTAGAATTTGCAAGTGGATATCTGGACAGCTTTGAGGCCTTCCCTGGAAACGAGTGTATCTTCACATAAACACTAGACAGAAGCATCCTCAGAAACTTGTTGGTGATGCTTGCATTCAACTCACAGAATTGAACATTTCTTTTCCTAGAGCAGTTTTGAAACACTCTTTTTGTAGTATCTGGAAGTGGACATTTGGAGCACTTTGAGGCCTAGGGTGAAAAAGGAAATATCTTCACATAAAAACTAGACAGAAGCATTCTCTGAAACTTCTTGGTTATGTGTGTACTCAACTCACAGAGTTGAACTTATCTTCTCATAGATCAGATTTGAAACCCTCTTTTTGTAGAGTCTGCAAGTGCATATTTGGATAGCTTTGAGGATTTCATTGGAAACGGGAATATCTTCCCATAAAAACTAGAAAGAAGCATTCTCAGAAACTCCTTTGTGATGCTTCCATTCAACTCACTGAGTTGAACATTCCCTTTCATACAGCAGTTCTCAAACACTCTTTTTGTAGTATCTGGAAGTGGACCTTTGGAGCGCTTTGAGGCCTAGGGTGAAAAAGGAAATATCCTCACCTAAAAACTAGACAGAAGCATTCTCAGAAACTTCTTTGTGATGTGTGTAGTCAACTCATAGAGTTGAACCTTTCTTTTGATACAGCACTTTTGAAACACTCTTTTTGTAGAATCTGCAAGTGGTTATTTTGGTAGCTTTGAGGCTTTGATTGGAAACGGGAATATCTTCACAGAAAAACTAGACAGAAGCATTCTCAGAAACTTCTTTATGAAGTTTGCATTCAACTCACAGAGTTGAAGTTTCCGTTCCATACAGCAGTTTTGAAACTCTCTTTTTCTAGAATCTGTAAGTGGAAACTTGGAGCGCTTCGAGGCCTATGGTGAAAAAGGGAATATCTTCCCATAAAAAGTAGACAGAAGAATTCTCAGTAACTACTTTGTGATGTGTGTACTCAAATCACAGAGTTGAACTTTTCTTTTGAAAGAGAAGTTTTGAAACACTCTTTTTGTAGAATCTGCAAATGGGTATTTAGCCTGCTTTGAGGCCTTCATTGGAAACGGGAATATCTTCACATAAAACTAGACAGAAGCATTCTCAGAAACTTCGTTGTGATGTGTGCATTCAACTCCCAGAGTTGAAGCTCTCTTTGGATAGAGCAGTTCTGAAACAATCTTTTTGTGGTATCTGGAAGTGGACGTTTGGAGCGATTCGAGGCCTATGGTGAAAAAGGCAATATCTTCACCTAAAAATTAGACAGAAGCATTCTCAGAAACTGCTTTGTGATATGTGTAGTCAACTCACAGATTTGAAACTTGGTTTTGATGCAGCAGTTTTGAAACACTCTTTTTGTTAGAATCTTCAAGTGGATATTTGGATAGCTTTGAGGCTTTCATTGGAAACGGGAATATCTACACATAAGAACTAGACAGAAGCATTCTCAGAAAGTTCTTTATGAAGTTCGCATTCAACTCACAGAGTTGTACCTTCCTTTTCACACAGCAGTTTTGAGACATTCTTTTTGTAGAATCTGCAAGTGGACATTTGGAGTGATTTGAGACTTAGGGTGAAAAAGGGATATCTTCCCATAAAAAGTTGACAGAAGCATCTTCAGAAACGACTTCCTGATTTGTGTACTCAACTCACAGAGTTAAACCTTTCCTTTGATACAGCATTTTGGAAACACTCTTCTTGTAGAATTTACAAGCGGATATAAGGACAGCAGTGAGGATTTCATCGGAAACGGAGTATCTTCACATAAAAGTAGACAGAAGCATTCTCAGAAAGTCCTTTGTAATGTGTGCATTCAACTCACAGAGTTGAAACTTTCTTTTGATAGAGCAGATTGGAAGCCCTCTTTTTGTAGAATTTGCAAGTGGATATCTGGACAGCTTTGAGGCCTTCCCTGGAAACGAGTGTATCTTCACATAAACACTAGACAGAAGCATCCTCAGAAACTTGTTTGTGATGCTTGAATTCAACTCACAGAGTTGAACATTTCTTTTCATAGAGCAGTTTTGAAACACTCTTTTTGTAGTATCTGGAATTGGACATTTGGAGCACTTTGAGGTCTATGGTGAAAAAGGAAATATCTTCACATAAAAACTAGACAGAAGCATTCTCTGAAACTTCTTTGTGATGGGTGTACTCAACTCACTGGGTTGAACTTTTCTTCTCATAGATCAGATTTGAAACCCTCTTTTTGTAGAGTCTGCAAGTGCATATTTGAATAGGTTTGAGGATTTCGTTGGAAATGGGAATATCTTCCCATAAAAACTAGACAGAATCATTCTCAGAAACTTCTTTGTGATGCTTGCATTCAACTCACAGAGTTCAACATTCCTTTTCATAGAGCAGTTTTGAAACACTCTTCTTGAAGTATCTGGAATTGGAAATTTGGAGCACTTTGAGGCCAAAGGTGAAAAAGGAAATATCTTCACCTAAAAACTAGAGAGAAGCTTACTCAGAAACTTCTTTGTGCTGTCTGTACTCAACTCATAGAGTTGAACCTTTCTTTAGATACAGCATTTTTGTAACACACTTTTTATAGAATCTGCAAGTGGATATATGGATAGCTTTGAGGGTTCGTTGGAAACGGGAATATCTTCAAGTAACAACTAGACAGAAGCATTCTCAGAAACTTCTCTATGAAGTTTGCATTCAACTCACAGAGTTGAAGTTTCCGTTCCATACAGCAGTTTTGAAACTCTCTTTTTCTAGAATCTGTAAGTGGAAACTTGGAGCGCTTCGAGGCCTATGGTGAAAAAGGGAATATCTTCCCATAAAAAGTAGACAGAAGAATTCTCAGTAACTACTTTGTGATGTGTGTACTCAACTCACAGAGTTGAACTTTCCTTTTGAAAGAGAAGTTTTGAAACACTCTTTTTGTAGAATCTGCAAATGGGTATTTAGCCTGCTTTGAGGCCTTCATTGGAAACGGGAATATCTTCACATAAAACTAGACAGAAGCATTCTCAGAAACTTCGTTGTGATGTGTGCATTCAACTCCCAGAGTTGAAGCTCTCTTTTGATAGAGCAGTTCTGAAACAATCTTTTTGTGGTATCTGGAAGTGGACGTTTGGAGCGATTCGAGGCCTATGGTGAAAAAGGCAATATCTTCACCTAAAAATTAGACAGAAGCATTCTCAGAAACTGCTTTGTGATATGTGTAGTCAACTCACAGATTTGAAACTTGGTTTTGATGCAGCAGTTTTGAAACACTCTTTTTGTTAGAATCTTCAAGTGGATATTTGGATAGCTTTGAGGCTTTCATTGGAAACGGGAATATCTACACATAAGAACTAGAGAGAAGCATTCTCAGAAAGTTCTTTATGAAGTTCGCATTCAACTCACAGAAGTTGTACCTTCCTTTTCACACAGCAGTTTGGAGACATTCTTTTTGTAGATTCTGCAAGTGGACATTTGGAGTGATTTGAGACATAGGGTGAAAAAGGAATATCTTCTCATAAAAAGTAGACAGAAGCCTTCTCAGAAACGAGTTTCTGATTTGTGTACTCAACTCACAGAGTTAAACCTTTCCTATGATACAGCAGTTTGGAAACACTCTTCTTGTAGAATTTACAAGCGGATATAAGGACAGCAGTGAGGATTTCATCGGAAACGGAATATCTTCACATAAAAGTAGACAGAAGCATTCTCAGAAAGTTCTGTGTAATGTGTGCATTCAACTCACAGAGTTGAAACTTTCTTTTGATAGAGCAGATAGGAATCCCTCTTTTTGTAGAATTTGCAAGTGGATATCTAGACAGCTTTGAGGCCTTCCCTGGAAACGAGTGTATCTTCACATAAACACTAGACAGAAGCATCCTCAGAAACTTGTTGGTGATGCTTGCATTCACCTCACAGAATTGAACATTTCTTTTCCTAGAGCAGTTTTGAAACACTCTTTTTGTAGTATCTGGAAGTGGACAGTTGGAGCACTTTGAGGCCTAGGGTGAAAAAGGAAATATCTTCACATAAAAACTAGACAGAAGCATTCTCTGAAACTTCTTGGTTATGTGTGTACTCAACTCACAGAGTTGAACTTATCTTCTCATAGATCAGATTTGAAACCCTCTTTTTGTAGAGTCTGCAAGTGCATATATGGATAGCTTTGAGGATTTCATTGGAAACGGGAATATCTTCCCATAAAAACTAGAAAGAAGCATTCTCAGGAAGTTTTTTTGTGATGTTTGCATTCAACTCACAGAGTTGAACATTCCCTTTCATAAAGCAGTTTTGAAACACTCTTTTGGTAGTATCTGGAAATGGGCATTTGGAGCGCTTTGAGGCCTAAGGTGAAAAAGGAAATATCCTCATATAAAAACTAGACAGAAGCATTCTCAGAAACTTCTTTGTGATGTGTGTAGTCAACTCACGGAGTTGAACCTTTCTTTTGATACAGCAGTTTTGAATCACTCTTTTTGTAGAATCTGCAAGTGGTTATTTGGATAGCTTTGAGTCTTTCTTTGGAAACGGGAATATCTTCATATAAAAACTAGACAGAAGCATTCTCAGAAACTTCTTTATGAAGTTTGCATTCAACTCACAGAGTTGAACATTTCTTTTCATAGAGCAGTTTTGAAACACTATTTTTGAAGGAGCACTTTTACGCCTATGGTGAAAAAGGAAATATCTTTGCATAAAAACTAGACAGAAGAATTCTCAGTAACTACTTTGTGATGTGTGTACTCAACTCACAGAGTTGAACTTTTCTTTTGAAAGAGAAGTTTTGAAACACTCTTTTCGTAGAATCTGCAAGTGGATGTTTAACCTGCTTTGAGGCCTTCCATGGAAACGGGAATATCTTCACATAAAAACTAGAGAGAAACATTCTCAGAAACTTCGTTGTGATGTGTGCATTCAACTCACCGAGTTGAACCTTTCTTTTGATAGAGCAGTTCTGAAACACTCTTTTTGTAGTATCTGGAAGTGGACATTAGGAGTGCTTCGAGGCCTATGGTGAAAAAGGAAATATCTTCACATAAAAACTAGACAGAAGCATTCTCAGAAACTGCTTTGTGATATGTGTAGTCAACTCACAGATTTGAAACTTGGTTTTGATGCAGCAGTTTTGAAACACTCTTTTTGTTAGAATCTTCAAGTGGATATTTGGATAGCTTTGAGGCTTTCATTGGAAACGGGAATATCTACACATAAGAACTAGACAGAAGCATTCTCAGAAAGTTCTTTATGAAGTTCGCATTCAACTCACAGAGTTGTACCTTCCTTTTCACACAGCAGTTTTGAGACATTCTTTTTGTAGATTCTGCAAGTGGACATTTGGAGTGATTTGAGACATAGGGTGAAAAAGGAATATCTTCTCATAAAAAGTAGACAGAAGCATTCTCAGAAACGAGTTTCTGATTTGTGTACTCAACTCACAGAGTTAAACCTTTCCTATGATACAGCAGTTTGGAAACACTCTTCTTGTAGAATTTACAAGCGGATATAAGGACAGCAGTGAGGATTTCATCGGAAACGGAATATCTTCACATAAAAGTAGACAGAAGCATTCTCAGAAAGTTCTTTGTAATGTGTGCATTCAACTCACAGAGTTGAAACTTTCTTTTGATGGAGCAGATTGGAAGCCCTCTTTTTGTAGAATTTGCAAGTGGATATCTGGACAGCTTTGAGGCCTTCCCTGGAAACGAGTGTATCTTCACGTAAACACCAGACAGAAGCATCCTCAGAAACTTGTTGGTGATGCTTGCATTCAACTCACAGAATTGAACATTTCTTTTCCTAGAGCAGTTTTGAAACACTCTTTTTGTAGTATCTGGAAGTGGACAGTTGGAGCACTTTGAGGCCTAGGGTGAAAAAGGAAATATCTTCACATAAAAACTAGACAGAAGCATTCTCTGAAACTTCTTTGTGATGTGTGTACTCAACTCACAGAGTTGAACTTATCTTCTCATAGATCAGATTTGAAACCCTCTTTTTGTAGAGTCTGCAAGTGCATATTTGGATAGCTTTGAGGATTTCATTGGAATCGGGAATATCTTCCCATAAAAACTAGAAAGAAGCATTCTCAGAAATTTCTTTGTGATGCTTGCATTCAACTCACAGTGTTGAACATTCCCTTTCATACAGCAGTTTGGAAACACTCTTTTTGTAGTGTCTGGAAGTGGACATTTGGAGTGCTTTGAGGCCTAGGGTGAAAAAGGAAATATCCTCACCTAAAAACTAGAGAGAAGCATTCTCAGAAACATCTTTGTGGTGTGTGTAGTCAACTCACAGAGTTGAACCTTTCTTTTGATACAGCAGTTTTGAAACACTCTTTTTGTAGAATCTGCAAGTGGTTATTTTGATAGCTTTGAGGCTTTCACTGGAAACGGCAATGTCTTCACATAAAAACTAGACAGAAGCATTCTCAGAAACTTCTTTATGAAGTTTGCATTCAACTCACAGAGTTGAACTTTCCGTTCCATACAGCAGTTTTGAAACTCTCTTTTTCTAGAATCTGTAAGTGGAAACTTGGAGCGCTTCGAGGCCTATGGTGAAAAAGGGAATATCTTCCCCTAAAAAGTAGACAGAAGAATTCTCAGTAACTACTTTGTGATGTGTGTACTCAACTCACAGAGTTGAACTTTTCTTTTGAAAGAGAAGTTTTGAAACACTCTTTTTGTAGAATCTGCAAATGGGTATTTAGCCTGCTTTGAGGCCTTCATTGGAAACGGGAATATCTTCACATAAAACTAGACAGAAGCATTCTCAGAAACTTCGTTGTGATGTGTGCATTCAACTCCCAGAGTTGAAGCTCTCTTTTGATAGAGCAGTTCTGAAACAATCTTTTTGTGGTATCTGGAAGTGGACGTTTGGAGCGATTCGAGGCCTATGGTGAAAAGGACAATATCTTCACCTAAAAATTAGACAGAAGCATTCTCAGAAACTGCTTTGTGATATGTGTAGTCAACTCACGGATTTGAAACGTGGTTTTGATGCAGCAGTTTTGAAACACTCTTTTTGTTAGAATCTTCAAGTGGATATTTGGATAGCTTTGAGGCTTTCATTGGAAACGGGAATATCTACACATAAGAACTAGACAGAAGCATTCTTAGAAAGTTCTTTATGAAGTTCGCATTCAACTCACAGAGTTGTACCTTCCTTTTCACACAGCAGTTTTGAGACATTCTTTTTGTAGAATCTGCAAGTGGACATTTGGAGTGATTTGAGACATAGGGTGAAAAAGGGATATCTTCCCATAAAAAGTAGACGGAAGCATTCTCAGAAACTACTTCGTGATGTGTGTACTCAGGTAACAGAGTTAAACCTTTCCTTTGATACAGCAGTTTTGAAAAACTCTTCTTGTAGAATTTACAAGTGGATATTAGGAGAGCATTGAGGATTTCGTTAGAAACGGGAATATTTTCACATAAAACTAGACAGAAGCATTCTGAGAAACTTCCTCTGGACGTTTGCATTCAACTCACAGAGTTGAACATTCCCTTTCATAGAGCAGTTTTGAAACACTCTTTTTGTAGAATCTGTAAGGGGACGTTTGGAGCGCTTAGAGGCCTATGGTGAAAAAGGAAATATCTTCGCATAAAAACTAGACAGAAGAATTCTCAGAAACTTCTTTTTGATGTGTGTACTCAACTCACAGAGTTGAACCTTTCTATTGATACAGCAGTTTTGAAACACTCTTTTTGTAGAATCTGCAAGTGGATATTTGGATAGCTTTGAAGCTTTCATTGGAAACGGGAATATCTTCACATAAAAACTAGACAGAAGCATTCTCAGAAACTTCTTTGTGATGCTTGCATTTAACTCACTGAGTTGAACATTCCTTTTCATAGAGCAGTTTTGAAACACTCTTTTTGTAGAATCCGCAAGTGGATGCTAGAAAGCTTTTAGACCTATGGTAGAAAAGGAAATATCTTCACATAAAAACAATACAGAAGCATTCTCAGAAAGTCCTTTGTAATGTGTGCATTCAACTCACAGAGTTGAAACTTTCTTTTGATAGAGCAGATTGGAAGCCCTCTTTTTGTAGAATTTGCAAGTGGATATCTGGACAGCTTTGAGGCCTTCCCTGGAAACTAGTGTATCTTCACATAAACACTAGACAGAAGCATCCTCAGAAACTTGTTTGTGATGCTTGAATTCAACTCACAGAGTTGAACATTTCTTTTCATAGAGCAGTTTTGAAACACTCTTTTTGTAGTATCTGGAATTGGACATTTGGAGCGCTTTGAGGTCTATGGTGAAAAAGGAAATATCTTCACATAAAAACTAGACAGAAGCATTCTCTGAAACTTCTTTGTGATGGGTGTACTCAACTCACTGGGTTGAACTTTTCTTCTCATAGATCAGATTTGAAACCCTCTTTTTGTAGAGTCTGCAAGTGCATATTTGAATAGGTTTGAGGATTTCGTTGGAAATGGGAATATCTTCCCATAAAAACTAGACAGAAGCATTCTCAGAAACTTCTTTGTGATGCTTACATTCAACTCACTGAGTTGAACATTCCCTTTCATACAGCAGTTCTCAAACACTCTTTTTGTAGTATCTGGAAGTGGACCTTTGGAGCGCTTTGAGGCCTAGGGTGAAAAAGGAAATATCCTCACCTAAAAACTAGACAGAAGCATTCTCAGAAACTTCTTTGTGATGTGTGTAGTCAACTCACAGAGTTGAACCTTTCTTTTGATACAGCACTTTTGAAACACTCTTTTTGTAGAATCTGCAAGTGGTTATTTGGATAGCTTTGAGGCTTTGATTGGAAACGGGAATATCTTCACATAAAAACTAGACAGAAGCATTCTCAGAAACTTCTTTATGAAGTTTGCATTCAACTCACAGAGTTGAACATTCCCTTTCATAGAACAGTTTTGAAACACTCTTTTTGTAGAATCTGTAAGTGGAAACTTGGAGTGCTTTAAGGCCTATGGTGGAAAAGGAAATATCTTCCCATAAAAAGTAGACAGAAGAATTCTCAGTAACTACTTTGTGATGTGTGTACTCAACTCACAGAGTTGAACTTTTCTTTTGAAAGAGAAGTTTTGAAACACTCTTTTTGTAGAATCTGCAAATGGGTATTTAGCCTGCTTTGAGGCCTTCATTGGAAACGGGAATATCTTCACATAAAACTAGACAGAAGCATTCTCAGAAACTTCGTTGTGATGTGTGCATTCAACTCCCAGAGTTGGAGCTCTCTTTTGATAGAGCAGTTCTGAAACAATCTTTTTGTGGTATCTGGAAGTGGACGTTTGGAGCGATGCGAGGCCTATGGTGAAAAAGGCAATATCTTCACCTAAAAATTCGACAGAAGCATTCTCAGAAACTGCTTTGTGATATGTGTAGTCAACTCACAGATTTGAAACTTGGTTTTGATGCAGCAGTTTTGAAACACTCTTTTTGTTAGAATCTTCAAGTGGATATTTGGATAGCTTTGAGGCTTTCATTGGAAACGGGAATATCTACACATAAGAACTAGACAGAAGCATTCTCAGAAAGTTCTTTATGAAGTTCGCATTCAACTCACAGAGTTGTACCTTCCTTTTCACACAGCAGTTTTGAGACATTCTTTTTGTAGAATCTGCAAGTGGACATTTGGAGTGATTTGAGACTTAGGGTGAAAAAGGGATATCTTCCCATAAAAAGTTGACAGAAGCATTCTCAGAAACGACTTTCTGATTTGTGTACTCAACTCACAGAGTTAAACCTTTCCTTTGATACAGCAGTTTGGAAACACTCTTCTTGTAGAATTTACAAGCGGATATAAGGACTGCAGTGAGGAATTCATCGGAAACGGAATATCTTCACATAAAAGTAGACAGAAGCATTCTCAGAAAGTTCTTTGTAATGTGTGCATTCAACTCACAGAGTTGAAACTTTCTTTTGATAGAGCAAATTGGAAGCCCTCTTTTTGTAGAATTTGCAAGTGGATATCTGGACAGCTTTGAGGCCTTCCCTGGAAACGAGTGTATCCTCACATAAACACTAGACAGAAGCATCCTCAGAAACTTGTTGGTGATGCTTGCATTCAACTCACAGAATTGAACATTTCTTTTCCTAGAGCAGTTTTGAAACACTCTTTTTGTAGTATCTGGAAGTGGACAGTTGGAGCACTTTGAGGCCTAGGGTGAAAAAGGAAATATCTTCACATAAAAACTAGACAGAAGCATTCTCTGAAACTTCTTTGTGATGTGTGTACTCAACTCACAGAGTTGAACTTATCTTCTCATAGATCAGATTTGAAACCCTCTTTTTGTAGAGTCTGCAAGTGCATATTTGGATAGCTTTGAGGATTTCATTGGAATCGGGAATATCTTCCCATAAAAACTAGAAAGAAGCATTCTCAGAAATTTCTTTGTGATGCTTGCATTCAACTCACAGTGTTGAACATTCCCTTTCATACAGCAGTTTGGAAACACTCTTTTTGTAGTGTCTGGAAGTGGACATTTGGAGTGCTTTGAGGCCTAGGGTGAAAAAGGAAATATCCTCACCTAAAAACTAGAGAGAAGCATTCTCAGAAACTTCTTTGTGATGTGTGTAGTCAACTCACAGAGTTGAACATTTCTTTTGATACAGCACTTTTGAAACACTCTTTTTGTAGAATCTGCAAGTGGTTATTTGGATAGCTTTGAGGCTTTGATTGGAAACGGGAATATCTTCACAGAAAAACTAGACAGAAGCATTCTCAGAAACTTCTTTATGAAGTTTGCATTCAACTCACAGAGTTGAAGTTTCCGTTCCATACAGCAGTTTTGAAACTCTCTTTTTCTAGAATCTGTAAGTGGAAACTTGGAGCGCTTCGAGGCCTATGGTGGAAAAGGGAATATCTTCCCATAAAAAGTAGACAGAAGAATTCTCAGTAACTACTTTGTGATGTGTGTACTCAACTCACAGAGTTGAACTTTTCTTTTGAAAGAGAAGTTTTGAAACACTCTTTTTGTAGAATCTGCAAATGGGTATTTAGCCTGCTTTGAGGCCTTCATTGGAAACGGGAATATCTTCACATAAAACTAGACAGAAGCATTCTCAGAAACTTCGTTGTGATGTGTGCATTCAACTCCCAGAGTTGAAGCTCTCTTTTGATAGAGCAGTTCTGAATCAATCTTTTTGTGGTATCTGGAAGTGGACGTTTGGAGCGATTTGAGGCCTATGGTGAAAAAGGCAATATCTTCACCTAAAAATTAGACAGAAGCATTCTCAGAAACTGCTTTGTGATATGTGTAGTCAACTCACAGATTTGAAACGTGGTTTTGATGCAGCAGTTTTGAAACACTCTTTTTGTTAGAATCTTCAAGTGGATATTTGGATAGCTTTGAGGCTTTCATTGGAAACGGGAATATCTACACATAAGAACTAGACAGAAGCATTCTCAGAGAGTTCTTTATGAAGTTCGCATTCAACTCACAGAGTTGTACCTTCCTTTTCACACAGCAGTTTTGAGACATTCTTTTTGTAGAATCTGCAAGTGGACATTTGGAGTGATTTGAGACTTAGGGTGAAAAAGGGATATCTTCCCATAAAAAGTTGACAGAAGCATTCTCAGAAACGACTTTCTGATATGTGTACTCAACTCACAGAGTTAAACCTTTCCTTTGATACAGCAGTTTGGAAACACTCTTCTTGGAGAATTTACAAGCGGATATAAGGACAGCAGTGAGGAATTCATCGGAAACGGAATATCTTCACATAAAAGTAGACAGAAGCATTCTCAGAAAGTCCTTTGTAATGTGTGCATTCAACTCACAGAGTTGAAACTTTCTTTTGATAGAGCAGATTGGAAGCCCTCTTTTTGTAGAATTTGCAAGTGGATATCTGGACAGCTTTGAGGCCTTCCCTGGAAACGAGTGTATCTTCACATAAACACTAGACAGAAGCATTCTCAGAAACTTCTTTGGGATGTTGCATTCAAGTCACAGAGTAGAACATTCCCATTCATAGAGCAGATTTGAAACACTCTTTTTGTAGTATCTGGAAGTGGACATTTGGAGCACTTTCAGGCCTAGGGTGAAAAAGGAAATATCTTCACATAAAAACTAGACAGAAGCATTCTCTGAAACTTCTTGGTTATGTGTGTACTCAACTCACAGAGTTGAACTTATCTTCTCATAGATCAGATTTGAAACCCTCTTTTTGTAGAGTCTGCAAGTGCATATATGGATAGCTTTGAGGATTTCATTGGAAACGGGAATATCTTCCCATAAAAACTAGAAAGAAGCATTCTCAGAAACTTCTTTGTGATGCTTGCATTCAACTCACTGAGTTGAACATTCCCTTTCATACAGCAGTTTTCAAACACTCTTTTTGTAGTATCTGGAAGTGGACCTTTGGAGCGCTTTGAGGCCTAGGGTGAAAAAGGAAATATCCTCACCTAAAAACTAGACAGAAGCATTCTCAGAAACTTCTTTGTGATGTGTGTAGTCAACTCATAGAGTTGAACCTTTCTTTTGATACAGCACTTTTGAAACACTCTTTTTGTAGAATCTGCAAGTGGTTATTTGGATAGCTTTGAGGCTTTGATTGGAAACGGGAATATCTTCACATAAAAACTAGACAGAAGCATTCTCAGAAACTTCTCTATGAAGTTTGCATTCAACTCACAGAGTTGAACTTTCCGTTCCATACAGCAGTTTTGAAACTCTCTTTTTCTAGAATCTGTAAGTGGAAACTTGGAGCGCTTCGAGGCCTATGGTGAAAAAGGGAATATCTTCCCATAAAAAGTAGACAGAAGAATTCTCAGTAACTACTTTGTGATGTGTGTACTCAACTCACAGAGTTGAACTTTTCTTTTGAAACAGAAGTTTTGAAACTCGCTTTTTGTAGAATCTGCAAATGGGTATTTAGCCTGCTGTGAGGCCTTCATTGGAAACGGGAATATCTTCACATAAAACTAGACAGAAGCATTCTCAGAAACTTCGTTGTGATGTGTGCATTCAACTCCCAGAGTTGAAGCTCTCTTTTGATAGAGCAGTTCTGAAACAATCTTTTTGTGGTATCTGGAAGTGGACGTTTGGAGCGATTCGAGGCCTATGGTGAAAAAGGCAATATCTTCACCTAAAAATTAGACAGAAGCATTCTCAGAAACTGCTTTGTGATATGTGTAGTCAACTCACAGATTTGAAACGTGGTTTTGATGCAGCAGTTTTGAAACACTCTTTTTGTTAGAATCTTCAAGTGGATATTTGGATAGCTTTGAGGCTTTCATTGGAAACGGGAATATCTACACATAAGAACTAGACAGAAGCATTCTCAGAAAGTTCTTTATGAAGTTCGCATTCAACTCACAGAGTTGTACCTTCCTTTTCACACAGCAGTTTTGAGACATTCTTTTTGTAGAATCTGCAAGTGGACATTTGGAGTGATTTGAGACTTAGGGTGAAAAAGGGATATCTTCCCATAAAAAGTTGACAGA